>NW_019805503.1:0-163186 GCF_000001405.40 Homo sapiens
ACTTGAGAAGCTATCTAGTCCTGGGCTTTTCTTTGTTGGGAGGTTTTTAAATTCCTACTTCACTTTTTATTACTACCTGATTATTTAAATATTTATAGGTACTTAAAATCTTGTGTATGCAATATAAATGTAGCTGTACCTGCTTTCTCTGGGTAACATTTGCATGGAATATCTTTCTCTACCCCTGTATTTTCTACCTGTGTGCATCCTTAACTCTAAAGTGAGTTTCTTGTAGACAGCATTTTAAAAATTTATTAGCCACTCTGTCTTTTGATTCAAGAATTTAATCCATTTAGTTAATTGTTTATAGGCAATGATTTACTATTGCCATTTTGTTAACTATTTTGTTTGTCTTGTAGTTGTTTTCTCCCTCTTTTTGTCTCTTGCTGTCCTCCTTTGTGTTTCATTGTTTTATGTTGTTTTTGTTTGTATTAATAGGGTTTGATTCCTATCTCTTTTTCTTTTGTGTAATAACGATAGTTGTTGTCTTTGTAGTTTTCGAGAAGCTTGCATAAAATATCTCATTGCTATAATACTCTAGTTTAAGCTAATAGCAACTTAACTTCACTTGCATAAAAAATTATACATTTACTTCTCCTCCCTCACATTATGTTACTGATGTCACAACTTATAGCTATTTATATTGAATACCCATAAACATAATTTTAGTTATACTTATTTTTGAATACTTCTATCTTTTAACTTTTATACTAGAATTGAAACTGATTTACCTATGACCATTATGGTGATACACTATTCTGGTTTTGTCTATATATTTAACTTTACCAATGAGTCGTATGCTTTAATATGCTATCGTATTGCTGTTTACTGTCCTTTTGTTTCAACTTGGGGAACTCCTTTTAGCATTTCTTCTAAGGTGGGTCTAGTGATGATGAGTTCCCACAGCTTTTTGTCTAAGAAAGTCTTACCTCCCCTTTATTCTTAAAGGATAGTTTTTCCAGGTGTAATATTCCTGGTTGATAGTTTTTTTTTTTTCTTTCAGTGCTTTGAATATGTCATCAAACTCTTTTCTGTCTTGCAAGGTTTCTTCTGGGGTGGAGTGGGGCGGCAAACCCACTGATGATCTTGTGGTGGTTCCATTGCATGTGACGAGTTGCTTTTCTCTTGCTCTTTTCAAAATTCTCTTATTGTCATTGGCTTTTGACAATTTGATTATAATGTGTCTTATGTATTTCGTGTATGTCTTTGTCCTATTTGATATCCTCTGGGCTTTCTGTATCTGGATGTCTATTTTCTTTCCCAGATTTGCAAAATTTTCAGCCATTATTTCTTTGAAGAAGCTTTTTTCCCTTTGTCTCTCTCTTCTCATAAAACTCCCACAATGCATATGTTGTTTTGCTTGATAGTATTCAGAAGAGGTCTCTTCACTCTTTTTAAAAAAATTTTTTTAAAGATACAGATTCTCTTCATATTGCTCAGTCTGGACTCAAACTCCTGGGCTCAAGTTATCCCCCATCCTCAGCATCCTGAGGGACTATGGGTCCACACTACCATTCTCCATTCTTTCTTCATTCTTTTTTCTTTTTGCTTCTCTGATTCAATAATTTCCAGTTACCTACCTTTGATTATTTCTTCTGCTTGATCTAGTCTGCTGTTGAACCCTTTATTGATATTTTTAGTTCAGTTATTATATTCTTCAGCTGTATAATTTATATTTGGCACATTTTTACATTTTTTCTTTTTGTTGAAATTTTCATTTTATTTGTGCATTGCTATTATGGCCTCAGTAACCATCTTAATGACCATATTTTGAATTCTCTGTTGGGTAAAATTATATATCTTCATTTTATTACATAAGTTTCTGGAAATTTCTCTTGCTATTTTTATTTAGAACATATTTCTCTGTTTATTCATTTTCTTTGATCCTCTGTGCTGGTGTCTGCACATTAAATATTATAAATCAACCCCCTCTACCAATCATTAAAGACTGTCCTCATATAGAAGACAATTCCCACCAACTGGCCCAGCAAGATATTGTGCATCCCTCTCAAATCTTTATGCTTATTCAACCTGCTGTCTTCAATCTTAGTGGCCCTCAGGAGTCTAAAGTATGCCAAATCCCATTAGTGCCTGAGACAGGTTTCTCAAGTCAATGCCAGAAAAGTCAGAGTTCTAGATTTATGGTACAATTTATTTTCTCCTCAGAGAGAAGCTGAGATGTGGAGTTTATTATCCACTTGCTCTGCACTGGGCCAGGGAGAGGAGATCTGGCAAATGCCTGCATGCTTATTCAAACCAGATGCTTTTTCAAATTGTTGCTTTGCTGTCTGTATTCTCAGTGGCCAAAGTGAAGGTCCTGTCCACTGATTCATGTGTAGCTGCTTATTTAGTGTGTCCATGGAGGGAGGAAAAGTCTGGAGCCTCCGATTTTGTCATCTTGCTGATGTACAGTATTCCCCTGAATGTTAAGCCAAATATGTGCTATATGTGCTTAATTTTTAAGTGTATTTCTCATGTGTTAGCACCTTATTGTGGGTGAATTTTATAGGCTGAGGAAGGATTTCCTATTCCTACTACATGAATTTCTTACTATCATTATTTCCCCAAGTATGATCTGAAGGAGATATATAATTTTTCTTCAATTGCATAAATGGACAAAGAAATGCATAAAACTTCTAAAATGCTTTGGCCCTTGAACTGTTCCAATTTAATTTCCTTCATACTAAGTTACCCAGTGTAAAGTGCCTCCTATTTTTATTTTCCTCTTACTCCTTTTTGTTGGTGGTACAATCCAGTAACCTCTGAGTTGCTCTAATAAAAGATGAATTCATGTGAAAAACTAATTCAAGAAATGACACTGTCTGCCACAGAAAACAGTCCCCATAACAGAGAGAGAGACAGAGAGAGAAAGAGAGAGAGAGAGAGAGAGAGAGAGAGAGAAAGAGAGAGAGAGACAGAGAGAGAAAGAGAGAGAGAGAGACAGAGAGAGAAAGAGACAGAGAAAGAGAGAGAGAGAGACAGAGAGAGAAAGAGAGAGACAGAGAGAGAAAGAGAGAGAGAGAGAAAGAGAGAGACAGAGAGAGAGAGAGAGAGAGTGTGTGTGTGTGTGTGTGTGTGTGTGTGAGAGAGAGAGACAGAGAGGGAGAGAATCTTTACAATCTGGATGAAAAATTTTTATCTGTATAGTAAGATGATACAATAAAGTAGATTGTCATTTATTAGAGTAGCTAATATCCCTTTGGTTTTACCTTGATTTGGTGAGTGAAAATTCTCCAGCTGCTCGATAACCCATTGACAAATAGTTATACTTTCTGAAGTGTTTAAAAAGAAAAGGAGGAAGATAAGGAGGCTGTATTAAATACTACTGGCTTTTTACTATCATTATTAATTGTTGCCTTCAATTAGTTATTACACATCACTGTATAGATGAAAAAATTATTTATCATACTTTCCTGCTTAGAAGACACTTCATGGAGTCTATTCTAATTTCCCCAAGCAATTGAGGTCAAGAAAAAAATTTGCATTGACATGAGAATTTACCTAATTTCTTTACCCATTCCTTATTTTTGGGGGGGGGGGGTGGAATTTAAACTCATGTAGGCAGTACCTTTAAGGGCAGAATCTGAAATTTTAAAAATCACACTTTTATACTAATATTGTATCTTGTGCTTATTTGAATTTTTAGGATTGTGTTATGTGTGCTGAAAACCTGGATGATAGATTTTTCTTCAGGGAGAATTTAGAAGCACGTAGTTTGTTGTAGAGAGTTTAAGACGTTAGAAAATACTAACTCATACTCTTTTATGTGGCAAGAATTACTTTCCTTTACTGATTGTGAAAATAATGTACTTCTCATTCGATCTGTATGACTAGCCTGTGAAACCATATTTGTAATTTCCTCAATCATTTATATGAAATAGTTTGGTTGCCTTTTCTTTGTCTTACTTCTTTATTTTATTTATTTATTTATTTATTTATTTATTTATTTATTTATTTAATTTATTTTTTTCTGGTGGGATGTTCAAAAATATCTTGCTTTCTCTAGTCCTCCTAACACGTTCCCAAATTCTGCATGCTCGCACATTTTAAACATGTTAGAATAGAGAAAGCAGGCCAGGTGCAGTGGCTCACACCTGTAATCCCAGCACTTTGGGAGGCTGAGGCAGGCAGATAGTTGGGGTCAGGAGTTCAAGACCAACCTGGCCAACATGGTGAAAACCCATCTCTACTAAAAATACAACAATTAGCTAGGCATGGTGGTAGGCACCTGTGATCCCAGCTACTTGGGAGGCTGAGGCAGAAGGATTACTTGAACCCAGGAGGCAGAGGCTGCAGTGAGCTGAGATTGCACCACTGCATTCCAGCCTGGGCAACACAGCAAGACTCCATCTCAGAAAAAAAAAAAAAAAAAAGAAAAAGAAAAAGAAAAAAGAGAAGAGAAAGCAACAGAACTAATTATCTTATAATTTTTTCTAAGGTACAACTATATTAATTTCTAAGGTACAACTAAATCAATAACTTTTAACTTTCTACCATCTGTTGTTTTTTAATTTGATTGTTTACTTTTAAAAAGTAAGCGTAACATCTCAATAAGTGTTGAAAAAGAAAACCAAAGAATCTGCAATATTATGCATGCAACTTCACAGAGAAGAATTTAATAACATATGATACTGCATGACTGACACTTCTATAAAAACAGAAATTATATTTCCAAACTCCAGCCAATGAAATACCCTACAGAGGCAAACCAAGCTAAGATCTTTACAAACTGCTGATCAATAAATTACACTTTAAAAGCAGCTGAGCAATTACCTGATAAGGCTTGAATCAGTAGAATTCTCATTTACATATTAAGAGATATTTATAGCAATAATTTTTGTCATGGGTTTGTATGTGTTAAATATGATAAGTTATACCAGTAATATGGATTAATTTTGGTAATACATAATAGTCACTATAAAGTCTGAAAATACATATTTATTTACTATAGAAGAAAATGCAGCACTAATTTAAAAATTACGTTTAGTCATTCTTTAAAAAATGTTCAAGTATTTGAGATAAGTGTATTCCTAAATTTTAGAAAGGATAAATGTCATTAAAGGCAAATGCATCATTAGGTTTTTGTTACTATCAATTAAATTTAGATTTTTTAACAAACAGGAGGACAGTGGTATATATATGTATATATATCTAAAATCTTTTAGAGAATCGAGACCACTGTGCAAATTACCAACTGGAAATCTGAAGAGACAGTAGAATAACAGAGAATCACAGCCAAGGTCAGCTTAGAACAGAAGATACTAGAACCATAAACCAGAGAAACACCTAAATGGTAATTTTGATGAATTGCTGAAGAGTAAATATAGAATCTTATGAGAATGAGAAATTACTGAGGACCCAATATTTTGAGGACCCACCATATTCATGGGTTTTACCTCCAGGAACCCTACCAGGTTCTCACTTGAAGAGCCAAGGAAAAATTGTCATGTTACTGACTGAAGAAGGAAAAAAGTAAACACTTTGAAGTATGCCCAAGAATTCTCCTTTGCAAAGGCTTATTCTGCAGGGGAAAAGATATTACAGTCTTATCCAATCTGGGATTAGGGAAATTATATAAATCCAGCATTTGTAGCCCTTCTATTTTTTCCTAGAAAGGTGGAAAAGAATTAAGAAGAACTTGTAAAGGTCAGTGCCTCAGTACACAAGCCCACTAAAAGATTGAGATTTAATGTTAGGGTTACAGAAAACTGCTTCTCCTCGACACCTTAGCACCAGTTAAACAGTTCTCCAGTAAAATAACAGTGGAATACAAATGAAAGAGTTGCAAGGCACAGACTCTAATAAGAAGTTCTTAATGGAACCCAAAGACAACAGGAGAGAGAAAAACAAGGGTATCAGAGTGAAGTGAAACCTCTGCTACCTATACCTACGACAAGCATGGAATATAGACCAAATAAAACCTCACACTATAGTTTTATTGTCTCAGCTTCTGTTGCCTAATACATCATGTCAAGCTTTAAATCAAATTACAAGGCATGCTAAAAGCAACACAAACACATGTTAAAGAAACAAAGCTAGCATGGGAGCTAACTTCAATTATGAAGCCAATTTCAGGATTATCTTAAAGGGAATTTACATTAACTACAATTAATATGGTGTCATAAAAAAGGAGATAATTTTTAAGAACAGATGGATAGTGTACACAGAAAGATGGAAACTCTAAAATGGAATGAAAATAAAATGCTGCAAATGTAAACACCGTAAAAGAAATGAAGAATGCCTTTGATGGGAACATCTGTAGACTGGATCTCGATGAGGAAATAATTGAGATTGAAGATAAGTCAATAGAAACTTCTCAAACTGAAACGCAAAGACAAAAAGGAATTAGAAAAAGAGACCAGAATATCCAAGAACTGTCAGGAAATGTCAAAAGGTATAAGATACTTGTAGTTGGAATAACAGAAGGACAAGAAAGAGACAATAGAACAGAAGAAATATTTGAAGTAAAAATAACTAGGAATTTTCCAAAACTAATAACAGACTCCAAACCACATATGCAAGAAAATCAGAGCACAAAGGAGCATGAATACCAAAAACAATCTATACCTGGGCATATCACATATCATATTCAAACTACAGAAAATCAAAAACAAAAGGAAAATCTTAAAAGAAGTCAATTAAAGAAAAACACCTTATCTATAGAAGGACAAAGGTAAGAATTACATCAAACAAGAAGCCTTTACGGTAACACAAGAAGCTTGTATGGTAACACCATACAAGCAAGAATTTAGTGAGAGGGAAGTATTTAAAATGCTTGATTAAAAAAAGTCAACAGTCTAAAATTCAATTTCCAGCAAAATTATTCTTCAAAAATGAAGGCGAGGAAAAGAATGAGAAGACAAGCCACCTGACTTGGATAAAATGATTGTGAAAGACATATCTGATGTCTTGGCTAGTAGTATTTGGCTATCTTCCAAAATATGCAAACCCAAAACTTCTAAAACACAAAAATTTGTTAAATGAATAACTTGATTAAAAATCGGGAGAAGAACAGCTAGCAACACAAGAACAGCTAGCTCCTTGCACAAGAACACTTGTTTGACACACTTTCCACTAATGAACTGATGTCAACTCCTGCAAGAAGCCCCCATGCCAATGTTCTCTTTGTTTCAAGACAACTTATATGTGCTTCTTGCTTTTGTCTTTAAATGCTCCTCCATACCCCAGCCTCCTCAGATGTACCTATAATCCATCATAGCATCCATATCTCAAATTGCAATTCCCTACTATTCCCCAACAGAGGGCCTGCCTCTCTCTGTTGTTATTTTTGGTGGACAAATTTCTTCTTGGATCGGTAGGTATACTCTAAAATTAGATAGTAGTGATGGTTGCAAATTTCTGTGAATATACTAAACACAGAATTGTACACTTTAAAGTGGTAGATTTTATGGTATGTAAATTATATCTCAATAAAGCTCTTATTCAAAAAAGACTCAGAGAAAAACATTTTTACAAAAATTTAAAAGAGTTAACCAAGCCCCACTCAGCAAAAGCAGCTAATAAAATCAGGGATTTAAGAGTAAGACAGTATTTATGACAGTACCTATTGTTTTGATTAGTCTAGCTTTGTAACATAGTTTGGAATCAGGATGTGTGATGTTTCCAGCTTTGCTCTTCTTTCTCAAAATTGCTCTGTCTCTCTGGGGTCTTTTGTGGTTGCCTACTAATTTTAAGATTGTTTATTCTATTTCTGTGAAAAAATGCTATTGGAATTTTCATAGGGATTGTCTTGAATTTGTAGATCACTGTAGGTAATACAGATATTTTAACAATATTTATTCTTCCAATCCAGGAGCATGGTATATATTTATTTTATTTATGTCTTCTTCAATTTCTTTAATCAATTACTTATAGTGTTCAGTGTACATATCTTCCATCATCTTAGTTAAATTTATTTCCAAATATTTTATTTTTTGATACTGTTTTCATGGAGATTGTTTTCTTAATTTCTTTTTTGGATAGTTAATTGTTAATATATAGACTTACAATTGATTTTAACATTGATTTTGTATCAGGCAACTCTACTAAATTTGTGTATTAGTTCTAGTCATTTGGGGGTTGCATATTTAGGGTTTTCTACATGAAATATCATGCCATCTAGGAAAATAAACAAGACACAAAGACCAATGGAACAGAACATAGAAGCCAGAAATCAACTCACACATATATGATCAACTAATCTTTCACAAGTGTGCCAAGAATACACAGTGGGTAATATATAATCTTTTCAATAAATGGTGTTGGGAAAGCTGGATATCCAAAGGCAAAAAAGTGAAATCAAATCCATACTTTACACTACACAAAACTCCAATCAAAATAAATCCAAGGCCTAAATTGTTAGACCTGAAACCATAAAAGTCCTACATGAAAACAGTGGAAAGGTTACTTGATACTGACCTTGGTGATGATTTACTGAAAATGATACCAAAAGAACAGGCAACAGAAGCAAAAATAAACAAGTCAAACTTCATCAAACCAAAAAGCTTCTGCATAGCAAAATAAAGAATCAACAGAGTGAAAAGGATACCCACAGAATGAGAGAAATGCTTGCAAACCATATATCTAATAAGGGGTTGATATCCAAAATACTTAGAAAATGCCTACAGTTCACTAACAGAAAAAACAAAAGACCCAGTTTTAAAATGGGCAAAGGACCTGATTAGACATTTATCCAAAGAAGACTAATTGCCAACAGGCATATGAAAAAATGTTACACAACATTACTTATATGTGAAATGCAAATGAAAACTGCAATGATGTATCACCTCACACATGTTAGGATGGCCATTATCAATGGCAAAAAACAGATAAGTCTTGGTATGCATGTGAAGAAAAGGGAACACATATATCATCGGTGGAAATTTAAGTTGGTACAAGCATTATGGAAAATAGTACAAACATTCCCCAAAAACTGAAAAATAGAACTAACATACGACACAGCAATTCCACTTCTACTTATGTATCCACAGGAAATGAACTCAGTATTTTGAAGAGATATTTGCACTCCCATGTTTATTTCAGCACTATTCACGATAGCCAAAATACGGCAACAACCTGTGTGTTTTGACAGAGAAGAGATATTAAAAACTGTGATTATATATATCTTCATACACAATAAAATAATATTCAGCCATAAAAAGGGAGTCCGGTGATTTGCATCATTATTATTATCACACTAAGTAAAATAAGCCAGATACAGAAAGACAACTACTGTATAATCTCACTTATATGTGAAATCTACAATAGTTAAACTCATAGAAGCAGAGAGTACAATGGTGGTTTCCAGGGCCTGGGGGATCGGAGAAATGGGGAAATGCTGATGAAGGATACAAACTTTTGATTGTAAGATGAACAAGTCTGATAATTTAGTGTATACCATAGTGAACATAGTTCACAATATGAGTAAATCTTAAGTATTCCAGCCACACACACACATGCGCACACACACACAAAAATTACATGGGTTGGTAGATGTGTTAACTTGATTACTGTAATTATTTCACAATATGTATGTATAGCAAATAATCATGTTGCACATCTTAAATATATACAATTTTATGTCTAATAAAAATGAGAATCTAATAAAAATAAGACAGTACTTATCTTAAATAAATAATTATTAGAAATACAAATAATATGCATTTATAAATACAAAGTACACACACACACACACACACACACACACACACACATTGTTCTAGTTGCAGCCCAATAGTGGTATTTTGTGAGAACTGCACTGTTGTCATTCACTGTGTTAAGAAAGGAATTACGATATCCCACTCATATCTTTATTAACTAGAGATCAGAGACACCTACTAAATCCTCACCTTAATAAATGTACTCCAGCACAAAAGTACAGCATCTAGAGACTACTAAAATTTAAACTTCTACCGGATATTTTATCTTTAACAATCCCCCACTGCAAATTAGAGCCCCCCCACAAATTAATACACCAAGCAGCACTATTCAAATGGATCACTCTCAGAGGTAGAAGAAAATGAAAAGAAATCTAAATAGATTGATAATGACATATCTCAAAGTAATGCAGTTTGAGGAATAAAAAATATTCTAGAACTAAAAATTGGATTCCACATTTTGAAAATTCAAGAAAGGAAATAAAAAGGAATGTACTTGCTGAGAGCTAATTGCAAGAATCTGTAAAGTCGAATAGTGTTGTCCTATCAGAGTAAGGAACATCAAAAAGTGTAAATCGTGAGTGAAAATATGAGTCATGGAGGAGACATTATAAATACATGTATAAAGTTTAAAACACTTAAGAGAATAATGAAGAAAACTAATAAAGGGGGCAAAATGCAGAAAACTTCTTCAACTTGAAGGATGACTTGATTGTCAAATAAGAGGCTGATCAACGTTGAACAGAATTTAAAGAAAAAGAGAGACCTAAATCTTTACATCCTGATGCATATTCTGACTTTTTTATCTTTAAGCATAAACAGACTATCTTAAAGGCTTCTAAATAGAAACCAACAGGTTACTTACATAGAGATAACTGTCATACTTGCATTGGACTTCTCAGCTGCAAGTTTAGATCAGAAAAAAAAAAAACGCTTACAGACTGCTGACAAAAAACTACTGATTAGGCTGCATGTAAAAATGTATAATATGTAGTATTCTCATAAGTGTTGAATTCCAAAGATTTTCTT
Organism: Homo sapiens; assembly: GCF_000001405.40. Taxonomy (NCBI): domain Eukaryota; kingdom Metazoa; phylum Chordata; class Mammalia; order Primates; family Hominidae; genus Homo; species Homo sapiens. The sequence continues at coordinate 10,686 of NW_019805503.1, forward strand.
TTAACATTTCTATTTTGACCAATGGGTTATTTGAAAATATATCTTTAACATTTCCAAAGATATATATCTTTGTAACTGACTTTTGGCATAGTTGCGTTGTACTCAGAAACCACAAACTATTTCAATCTTTTGAAATATGTGTCAGTATTTTTTAGGCTCAATATATTAAAGTGCTCTATGTGCTGTTAAAAGTAAAATATTCCCGGGCCGGGGGTGGTGGCTCACGCCTGTAATCCCAGCACTTTGGGAGGCCGAGGCGGGTGGATCACGAGGTCAGGAGATCAAGACCATCTTGGCTAACATGGTGAAACCCCGTCTCTACTAAAAATACAAAAAATTAGCTGGGCGTGGTGGAGGGCACCTGTAGTCCCAGCTACTCGGGAGACTGAGGCAGGAGAATGGCGTGAACCCGGGAGGTGGAGTTTGCAGTGAGCGGAAATCGCGCCACCGCACTCCAGCCTGGGCGACAGAGCGAGACTCCATCCAAAAAAAAAAAAAAAGAAATATTCCGTACAATTTTTTGATGTAATGTTCTATACCTATTCCTTAGGTGATATGTATAAGTTGTGTTGCTCAAATCTTCTACATGCCTACTATTTTTTTTTTTTTTTTGGTCCACTAACTATCACTGCAGAAAGTGATGTATAAAAAAATCTACTGTTGTTGATTTGTTTATCTCTACTTGGGGATGTGCCAAATTTTGCTTTATGTATTTTTGGGACATATTAAAGTGCATTCAAATTCAGAATCATTGTATATTCCTGATGAACTACATTTTCTCATTGAAAGTTTTCCTTCTTGATTGTAAATAACACTTTTTTTTGTTTTCAAGTCTATTTCATTTTAAATACTTTGTATCTTTATGTTACTATCTTCTTAACTGAATATGATCAGATTTTTTATCATCACATATTTCTTTATTTTAATTAGAACTTTCAGTATTTATTACATAGTTGTGTTTTAGCGTAACACTTTTGTTCTATTTAAACCACTTAAAAAATTTCTCAATTCTTCACTTTTTATTGATTGAGAAAATTTTGTTTTTATAATATTTCCCTCAAATAGTTTGGAGTTATACTATTTTTTCTTATTATTTAGTTTCCCGTGAACATGCAGCACAGCACTGTGATCCCTAAGACAAAAAAAAAAAAAATAACAAACCAGATGTTTCCTATGAATACCCCAAGTTTCTTTTTGGAAGCATGTTTTAGTCAGTAGTGAAGGAAGGGAGGAAACAGGAAATGCAAAGGGGTCTTGCTTAATTTATCAGCAAAAATAAGAGTTTAGGAAAGCTAAGGCAGCTAGAATTGGTGAAGCAGAGCACAAAAGAAGAGGAACCTCCTTAAAGAAAATGTTCCAGAGCTCTGAGTAGAGGTCCTCATGAGTCTGCTGCTGAACAATAAGCCATTCATGAGTTGAAAAGATAGAGATGGTATCTCATTGTGGTTTTGATTTGCATTTCTCTGATGGCCAGTGATGATGAGCATTTTTTCATGTGTCTTTTGGCTGCATAAGTGTCTTCTTTTGAGAAGTGTCTGTTCATATCCTTTGCCCGCTTTTCGATGGGGCTGTTTTCTTCTTGTAGATATGTTTGAGTTCATTGTAGATTCTGGATATTAGCCCTTTATCAGATGAGTAGATTGCAAAAATTTTCTCTCATTCTGTAGGTTGCCTGTTCACTCTGATGGTAGTTTCTTTTGCTGTGCAGAAGCTCTTCAGTTTAATTAGATCCCATTTGTCAATTTTGGCTTTTGTTGCCATTGCTTTTGGTGTTTTAGACATGAAGTCCTTGCCCATGCCTATGTCCTGAATGTTATTGCCTAGGTTTTCTTCTAGGGTTTTTATGGTTTTAGGTCTAACATGTAAGTCTTTAATCCATCTTGAATTAATTTTTGTATAAGGTGTAAGGAAGGCCAGTTAGAATGGCAATCATTAAAAAGTCAGGAAACAACAGGTGCTGGAGAGGATGTGGAGAAATAGGAACACTTTTACACTGTTGGTGGGACTGTAAACTAGTTCAACCATTGTGGAAGTCAATGTGGTGATTCCTCAGGGATCTAGAACTAGAAATACCATTTGAACCAGCAATCCCATTACTGGGTATATACCGAAAGGATTATAAATCATGTTGTTATAAAGACACATGCACACGTATGTTTATTGCGGCACTATTCACAATAGCAAAGACTTGGAACCAACCCAAATGTCCAACAATGATAGACTGGATTAAGAAAATGTGGCACATATTCACCATGGAATACTATGCAGCCATAAAAAATGATGAGTTCATGTCCTTTGTAGGGACATGGATGAAGCTGGAAACCATCATTCTCAGCAAACTATCACAAGAACAAAAAACCAAACACCGCATGTTCTCACTCATAGGTGGGAATTGAACAATGAGATCACATGGACACAGGAAGGGGAATATCACACCGCGGGGCCGGTTGTGGGGTTGGGGGAGGGGGGAGGGATAGCATTAGGAGATATACCTAATGTTAAATGACGAGTTAATGGGTGCAGCACACCAACATGGCGCATGTATACATATGTAACAAACCTGCACGTTGTGCACATATACCCTAGAACTTAAAGTATAATAAAAAAAAAGAAAAAAGAAAAGATAGAGATGAACTGTATGGGAGGTTGAGGTAACGAGAATTGTGATGCAGTGTTCAGGAGAATAGAAAAATACACAGAAATAAAGCTCCAAAAATTTGCATAGGTAATCCTTGAATATTTGCTGAGTGTTAAGAATCACATATATAGAGTGAATCTCTTCAGAAAGGAGGAGCTATGTAGAAGATGAGCACCAGAAATATGCATTGGGTTTATTTTGAGTCTGCTGACAAATCCTAAGATATACATAGTGAGTAAAACCTCAGAGGAAGCTGTTATGTGAACAAGTTCTAGAGTCCACAGAGCTGAGAGATATCTGAGTACCAATCAACCAGAGTTAAGAGAACACATTGAATACTTCGGACATTCATTAGGGATCCAAGAATGGTGATGTATTGGAGGAAGTAGGGTTGCAATAGATCTAGGGTGAAAGCTACTCTATATTTGTCCTTACAAATCTAAAAAGAAAAATTTATTAAAATTTGAAAATGATTAGCAAGTAGTGTTATTGCCTAATAGCAAAAGCTTGAAAATGGTTCAAGAAACACAACAAAATATAATAACTCAACAACAAAATAATCAGAATGTCTACCATCAAACGAAAAATTACTAGACATCTGAAAGGCAGGCAAATGTGAACTGTGACAAGTACAAAAATGAAGTTTATTGAAACAGACTAAAAAAATGACAGCATAATTGGCAGTAAAATAAGACACTGTTATAAAGATGCTCAAGATTTAAAGGAAAACATGAGTATAATAAAAAGTGAGATAAAAGACATGCAAAATACCAAAACAGAAATTCTAGAGATAAAAGCTCAGTATTTGAGTTAAATGTTAGCTGGAAAAGCATAACAACAGTTAAGAAGAAAAGGTAGTGAACTTCAAGAAATAGCAAGAAACTATTCAAAAAGAAGCACTTTGATTCCACATATAAGTGAGGTCATGCAGTAATGATCAAAGGGTACAAAGTTTCAGAGAGATAGGAGGAATATGTTCTGAGGTTTTTTGCATAAGAGGGTGACTATGGTAAATGATAATGCATTACATATTTCAAAACTAAAAGTAAATTTCTAATATCATAAATTTCAATGTCTAAAATATATAGGTAAGTGAGGTGATAGATATCTTAATTAGCTTGATTTAGTCATGCTGCATTGTATACATATATCAAAACATCACATTGTACCCCATAAATATACACAACTATAATTTGTCAATTTAAAAAAAGCCTACAAAATGAAGCTCAGCATTAAAAGATTTAAAAAGGACATGACAGCCTCAATTACCTGTGATACAACTTCAAAAGATCTAACATCTAATACGTATGAAATTGGGTTTCAGGAGTTGCAGAGGAAAATATTTAAAGAAATAATGGCCAAAAATATCTGAATTTCATGAAAATTATAAACCAACAGAGATCCAAGCAGTCCAATGAAACCCAAGAAGTATAAACAGAAAGAATGACACAAGAAGAAATATAAAAATCAAATTAATGAAATCAGGGTTGAAGAGAACATCTGAAAAACATCTAGGGATAAAACATATATCACAGAGAGGAGATTAAATTAGAAAAAATGTAGACTCCTTCTTGAAACAATGTGAAACAGGTTACAGTATAATGACATCTTTAAACTGCAAAAGTGTGGGGGGGAATCTTGTCAATTTGAAATTCTATATCCAGCAAAATATCCTTCAAAATTGAAAGTGAAATAAAAACATTTTCAGACAAACAAAATCCGAGGTAATTCATTAGCAACAGCTGTGCACTATGAGAAATGCTAAAGGGACTCTGAGGTTGAAGAAAAAAAGAGAAACTAGGATCTACGGAAAGGAATGAAGAATGTCAGGAATAGTTAATATGTGGTAAATATCATGACTTTTTAAAAAACAACCTTTAAAATATATTTTAGTTTTTTAAATAAATATTTAAAATGAAAAGTGAACCATACTTTTATAAAGATCAATAATATTTTGAGGTTTATAAGAAAATATATGACATTAGCACAATATACAGGAGGTAAATAAAAATATTCTGTTGTAAGATGCTTAAATTGTAGATGAAATGGTATAATATAATTTGAATGTAGATTGTAATAAGTTAAAGATGCATTTTACTAGACATATACCAATCTATATCTTTGTATAAATATATCACTATCACTAAAGCAACAACATTAAATAAGACAAACATGTTCAGCTAATAAGCAAATATTAGTGATAAAATGGAATCATAAAATACATTCAAATCAAAAGAAAACCAGAAAAGAGGAAAAAGGAAACAAAATGTGGGACTGAGGAAAAGTAAATAGCAAAAAGGTAGTCTATAAACATGAACCCAACCACATTAAGGATTGTATTAAGCATGAACAACTAAAGTATAAAATAAATATACATGAATCCATGATGATATAAATAAATGATTGAATAAAAAATAAATGAGGGAGGCATGCAGACCTTCTCTACAGAATTCCAAACAAGAAATCTCCCCCTCTGAGAGGTGAAACCTAATCCCTGAAGCCCCTTGAGGATTTGCTACACTTAGTGATTTACCTCCAAAGACTAAATTCGGGAAGGAAAAAATAGTAACCTTAGAATGGAAGAACTGACATTGATGGAATTTATATAGAAAATTAAAAGGACCCAGAATAACTGAAACGATTCTGAAAAATAACAAACTTTGAGGATTTAGAGTACCTCATTTCATGAATTATTATATGGCTATAGTAGTCATGACAGTAGTAATATGAGTAGAGATATTGGTCAGTGGAAAAAATAGACAACTTAGAAATATAAATACTCAATCAATACTTTGCAAATGTACCAAGATATTCAATAGGGAAAGAATAGTTTATCCAAGAAATGGTACTGGAAGAATTGGATCTCCAATTTAAACATAACAAGCTTCAGCCCTTAGCTCACACCATATACACAAATTAACTTGAAATGAATCATACATCTAAATGTAAAAATGGAAACTGTAAAACTTCTTGAAGAATATACAAGAATACCACTTTGGGATTACAATAATTTTTGATTAGAAAACAAAAGTATAAACCATCACAAATTGCTAAATTGCAACTTGTCAAAATTAAAACTTTTTGTTCTTTAGAATACTCTGCCAATTAAATAAAAAGCCAAGCCATAGACAGGAGAAAATACTGAAACTCCATAACTGGACAAAGAAATTGTATAAAGATTATATAAGTACTCTTACAATTCAATAATAAGGAAAAAGAGGAGCAAAAATTTTAAATGGGCGAAGAAAACACTTCGCAGGAGAAGACAATGAATGGACAAAAAACATAAAAAAGACTTTCTTTTTTAGACATCAAGGAAATGCAAATTTCACTACAATGAGACACCACCTGCCACACACTAGAAAGTCTAAAATTAAAATAAAAAAAAATCCTTACAGTACCAAATGTTGGGGAAGATATCAAGCAACTGGATATCTTCAGTATTGCTAGTGCAAAATGATATAACCTCTTTGGAAAATTGTTTCCAGTTTCTTCAAAGCCAGGCAACCCAGCAATCCCATTCCTAAGTACTTAACCAAGAAAATGAAAGTATATGACCACACGAAGAATTTTATAGGAATATTAATGGGCAGTTGACTCATAATAGTTGAATCAACAAACAAATCGAGTTATACGTCTGAGTCAATATCCATACATAGCTTACTACTCACAATAAAAAAAAAAGAGCTGCAAAATGTAACTTGGATAAATCTTAAAATGATGATGCTGATCAAAAGAAACCAGACACAAAACAGTACTTAAAATGTAAATCTTCCTACATAAAATTCTTGAATATGCAAAAGTAATTTACCTTAAAGGAAACATTAAATTAGTTGACTGTAACCAGGGTTGGAAATCAGTGAAAAAGTTTGTGCTGGCCAGGCATGGTGGCTCACATCTGTGATCCCAGCACTTTGGGAGGTCGGGGCAGGTGGATCACTTGAGGTCAGGAGCTCGAGACCAACGTGGACAACATGGTGAAACCTTGTCTCTATTAAAATACAAAAATTAGCTGTGAGTGTTGTCACGTGCCTGTAATCCCAGCTGCTTGGGAGGCTGAGGCATGAGAATCACTTGAACCTCGGAGGCAGAGGTTACAGTGAGCCAAGATTAGGGCACTGCACTCCAGCCTAGGCAACGAAGGACTCTGTCTCAAAAAAAGAGAGAGAGAGAGAGTGCTTACTTTGTCATGTAAAATATTTCAATATAGTTTAAAAAATCTTCTTTCACTTGACAATACCCTTCTTCATAAAGACAATCATAATGGCTGTTACTGATTGTGCTAGATGTTGGGCAGTTTATATACACACTGTGCCAGGTTGCTGTATGGTCAGTTTGGATAAGATGAGAATTGCATTTCCATGAATGCTGGTCCTCCTCTGGTCCAAGTGTGAGTTGGTTAAAAGAAAGGAAAGAAGTGAAGCAGCTGACACCATTCTCTGAAGGTCTTCACGATCAGAGATAGTGACTGTCAGACATGGAGGTTCATGAAGGGTTACAGCTTCTCTTTTATTTCCTCTGTTTTTTGTCTAACTCATCTTCCTGCTATCCAGTGGTCAGGTCCATCACCATACACTTGACTATGGACCCACCGAAGCACTGGTTACAGAGGGGCACAGCTGCACGTGGGTCTCTCTGTGAGCTTCCCCTTCACAGTTCCACATAGGCAGTTGGACTTGGCTCTTCAGTTTTCTTGGCAAGCTATGATTTTTCTCTAATCCTTCAGTTACCCATTCTGACCATTCACTTTCCCAGCTCCTTTGACAACTGTGTAAGTCCAATTCCTATTATGAATCTCTTATCCCAACCATCCCACAGCACTTCTTGTGCTCTGCTACCCTGACTGAACCCTGGAGTGCTCTCCCACTCTCTCTGTCTTTCTTACACACTCACAAAACACACACATTTTCACAGTTAGGTACACAATTTTCAAGAATATACACATACATATACATTATCCTGTTTTGTTTTTTTGTGCTTGTTTTTTGATAAGACTTTGACTACCCAAGAAAGCATAAAAGAAGTTCAATTATGTGAATAAATTTAAGATATAACTCAGATAATGATAAATTTACTACTTTAAATATTGCTCATAAGCCTGTTTCCTTACTAGTCCTTACTCTGTGACTCTGATTCTGAATTTCCAGCTTGTATGCAATAGACTTCAGATCTCTTCCAGAATCAATTACTACCTAAAGTGCCACCAGAATCCCAGAGAGGACAGTCTCACATTCCTTCCCTCTGTTTTACTGTCCATATTATTTGCTTATTCATTCAAGAACCATTTACTAAATATATATTTTGTTCCAGACATTATTAAAAAATGTCCTCAAGGACTTCACAATAGGGAAGCAATAAAAAATAAGCTTATTAAAATCATATGCAAGGTGCTATATATTCACCAAGAAGAAAATGACTGACTCTATAAGGAGTGAATTTTTCAAGGTAGCCTTTGTAGAGGGTTAAAAGGACGGTGTACACTGGCTATCTCTCGTGCCTTTTGTTTACTCCTCAAGCCACTGTAAAACGTCTTCCTCTTTAACAATTCTATTCAAACTGCTCGTTGCCCAAGGTGGCAGATCAGTGACCTCTGTGCTGCAGAATTTAATCTTACTAAAAATGTATAAAGTATATTTGTATGAAGCTTACTTATTATATCACATTTGTTAATTTTTCTTATAAGTAGAATAATTTTGGTCGCAAATTCAGGTAATATAGCAATTCACATAAAATTAAATTCTACTGTGCTTCAAGCATTTGGACATCTTAGTTATCTAGTAATGTTAATTTAAAAAATATTCTGATCACTTTTTAATTTTTGTTTAGATAGTCATCTTTTATTTTTGTAACAGTTGTAAAGAACTCCTCTATAAAATTCAACATGGCACCTATAAAATAGATTCAAACTCTTCTGTAATACAAGTTGCATTTTCTTTCCAATTTTGTCACTTGCTGTTTTGGTTATGATGTTTCAGTCTGGATCACTGCAGAAAACAGATGGCATACCCAAAGGTTTCATTTAAAAGAGTTTAATAAGTTTACAGAACTATGAGAAGGGTTAAGAGACAAAACAACGGATAATGAAACACCCAAGAATTACCAACAGCAGGGAGCTGTTACCATCTCTAAGCCTAGAGAGACAAGAGGGAAAGATGTTACCAGAGTCCAGCAAGCACTGGAGCCATGGAAAGGAGCCTTCTGCTCTCCCGCTGGTACCTCCCCTTAGCCCAAGTAATCCAGAAGCCAGAAGGGGGTGGAAACCCAGTGTTGTCATCGACAGAAGTCAGTCTCCTGGAACACTAAGCAAGGCAGAGAAGAGAAAAGACTGAATCTACAAATATTCTTTGATTTCTAGAAATTTCTATTTTTCATAAAGCCAAACTAATACTTTTTTCAGTTGGCTTCCAATTTCATCTTTAAAATAGCTTCTTCACCCAGAGATTATATAATTTGTTTATACTTTCAAAAAAAATACTTTCTATGGGACTAGAATTCTTTTCATTCCCAGGCGATGCATTGCTATTTCTTTTCTCAAGATTTTCACACTTGCTTTCCCTTCTACTTGAACAGTTGTCTCCCCATTATAAGATTAACCAAATTGAGGCTATCCTTTAGATTTCTGACCAGTCAGAGAAGTGTTGTTTTCAGAAATGGTCACAGTGCCTGCCAAATGGCAAGACTTGGGGCCAAATATTCACTTTACATTGACAATGTTAAACTTTGCCTGAATGTTCTGGAATGCAGCAACAGTTAAGAAATTACCCCACTTTGTTGTGTTCTAGCAGTCCCCAACCTTCTTGGCACCAGGGACTAGTTTCATGGAAGACAATCTTTCCATAAACCAGGGCAGTGGGGCTGGGGGTGGGGGTGATGGTTTCAGGATGATTCAAGTGCATTACTTTTATTGTGGAGTTTATTTCTATTGTTATTACATTGTAATATAGAATGTAAGACTTATACAACTCACCATGATGTAGAACCAGTGGGTACCCTGAGCTTGTTTTCCTGAAGCTAGGTAGTCCCATCTGGGGGTGACGGGAGACAGTGACAGATCATCAGGCATTAGAGTTTCATAAGGAGTGCACAACCTAGATCCCTTGCATGTGCAGTTCACGATAGGGTTTGCACTCCTATGCAAATCTAATGCCACCGGAGCTCAGGTGGTAATGCAAGCTATGGAGACTGGCTATAAATACACATGAAGCTTCGCTTGCTCATCCGCTGCTCACCTCCTGCTCTGAGCCCTGGTTCCTAAGAGGCCATGGAAGGATTCCTGTCTGTGGCCTGGGCATTGAGGACCCCTGTTCTAGGAAATGCTTACTGCAAATAACTACCCTTCCCCTTATGACTTAGATAAGACACATGGATGCCGCCCTTTCTTAAATATAGTGAAATCAGACACACACTCTCCAAACTCCCACTCTTTGCCTTATAAATGATCCACTGAATTGTTTGTACCTAGTGACCAATTCGTACAAAATAATTATCTACTAACTTGGCTTGGCCAAACTTTCGTGAGTTTTTCTTCTTCCCTTAGGCCCTTGGACTTTGACCAGGCATTGGAAAAAGCAAGCAACAAAACTCAGAACAAGCCCTTCTTAACAACTCCTCCCAAATCTGCTAACCTCAGGAAAAAATGTTAACTGTCAGATCATAACATTGCCCATCTCACTTCGTAACCCTGATTGTTTCTTGCCTGGTTTATTCCTTTTCAGAAAAGAAAAGTGTTTTTCTGCCTGACCTTTGGGGCACTCACAGACCTTATGGTCCTTATGGTCAGAGCATAAAAGCCCTTTCCCTACTTTTTCTTCCTTTCGCAAAACACCCCTCACCTTACTGTCATAGTGGCCCTCCCCTTATGTAAATAATCATTTTGAATAATGTCTCTCTTCATGAAAAATTCTTTATTCAAAGTCCAGATTTATTATTTATTTGACACACTTTTGTCCTTGCTTGTCTTAAAAGCTGCTAGAGTTTAGAAAATGAGTTGTCATTCATTCAACAAACATTTATGGAGCAGCAATCTGTTCTAGATACTCTGTTAGATGCTGGGGATACACTGAAGAGAAATACAACGTGCATTCCTTTAGGGAACTTGCAGTAAAATGCAGTATACAAAGTGCTATCAGAAAAATAAATAGTGGCAATATAATACTCGGATAGTACATAGGAGAGGCACTGATCCCTGAGGGAGATAGAAGAGAGAATGTTTTCAAAAGTTGGTAGTGTGTAAGCTGATCAGAACATATGATAGGTTATGATCAAATACAGAAATGCATATCATAGAAAGTAACTTCAAACTGTGACTTTAAGCAGTTACTTTCTATGACAAAGAAATGATATGCAATTGGCCCTCCATTTCTCTGGGGTTTGCATTCATGGAGTCAACCAAATATGGATGGAAAATATTTGAGAGAAAAAAGAAATGGATGGTTGTGTCTGTACTGAATACGTACACGCATTTTTTTCTTGTCATGGCTCCCTAAACAATACAATATAATAAGTACTTACATAGCATTTACATTTCATTGGGTATTATAAGGAATCTAGAGATGATTTAAAGTACATGGCAGGATATGAGTAGGTTACATGCAAGTACTGCATCATTTTACATAAGGGACTTGATAATGGTCTGATTTTGGTATCCATGGGGGTCCTGGAACCAGCTCCCCCTGGGCACTAAGAAACAACTGTATGTGTTCAAAGTTGGGAACGTTAGAAATAAGTACAGTTGAGATAGCTAAGGCTTCATTTGTGGTTGATGAGGTGAGTCTAGAATAATAGTTAAGACTCGAATGGCATAGAAATGTTTCAGATGATGTTTCAGCAGTTTCATGAGCACAGGGAGCTGGAGCAGAGATGTGTGTTGAGGAGAAAAGAAAAGGAAGGGTCTGAATCAGTCTTTCATTTCTGTATTCATGGCACTCTTTCAGAGCTCACTGGACTCCATATCTATGTTTAGCTTATGTTGTACCACAAAATTATATATCTTTTACTTGTTATACTGATGGTTTATTTAATTTAGACATCAGTTTGTAGATCTAATGCACTAGGGAGCATGGTCATTGCACACATTTTTCCCCAAAGCGGGATTTAAATTACTCAGTTTCCATGGTTGACATCATGTTGATGTCAAGCACATGATGACATCATTGTACTGTAGTTACAAAGAACAGCAACTCATGCTCTAATACTGGATAATTTCACACTGGACAATTTCAGGCATCACCATAAAAAGAACTTAGTAATTTTATTAAGTCCGTATGTTTAAAGTGAGCATATTTGGGCTGAATTTGATTGACTGCTATCCTGAGGATGGTGTGCATTTGTCAGAGTTTATTTTCTGCTGTGTGACAGACCTGCAGTGATGGTCCAACTGACTCAGACCTTATGGCTAATTTTTCACATTATAATGCGATTTCTACCTTGGTAATCCAACAGATGGTTTCTCTCTTCCTGTCTTGGATATTATGAGAAAGTGGATCAAATTCAGAGTCTTGTAAAGCTACTGTTGAAATTCTGACTCAAATCATGAGCACCTTCACACTTGTGTACAAAAGTGAGGTATTCCTGGGCTTCCCTGCCAACTAATCAAATTTAGTTGTTGTGGCCCCACATCTCTGGCTTGGCATTATGTGGAAAGAGACATTCCAGGGGTGCAATAAGCTATCTCATTTACATTATTTCTAGTGTTGTTTATTACAGTTTGCTAGGCCTCATGGCAGGAAGTTTTTGTTTTGTTTTTTTTTTGTTCTAGAGCAGAAGGTAATTTTTCTCTCTCAATATTTCCAGCCTCTGTGGTGGCCAAACTCTCACATATGAGGTAGTCAATGTGAAGAACTGCAGGTTTGAAAATATATGTACTTTTAGTATGAAAGTAATTTTGATTGAGTGAGAAATTCACATTTTAGCTGAAGAGATTATGTAAATGTTACTAGGTTTTATGAAAGCTCTACTAGAAAATTGCATTTTAACCAGAAATAAAGACATTTCAATATTGGTAACCTTTTTTGACATGAGGGGCAAGATCATTACCTTACTGCCTCATCATGCCTCATATTTTATAGTCACTCTCTGCAGTAAGGCTCTTACAGTTGTTTTATGAAGCATGTGTGATTTCAACATTTATTAGAAAATTTTAAGCATCTAAATATCATTAAAGCAGAAAAAAGGATGGTCTTTTTTGTATTTTATATTCTGAATTTACTGAACATTTTATGAGAAATAATAACTATGACCTTTTATTATAAGTTTATTTCTAAATATTTAAAGAGAAACATAATTCAAATTTATAATATAAATCCATGGTAGAAATAGGTTTGGTGTTAATGAATAAAACATGCAAGCATTTTATCAGAAAATTTTAATTCTTGAATATGTGATAGAAGTGAGTGAAGAACTTATAAATATTTATACACCCATATATTTAATAGAATACTCAAAGTTACAGCATTTATGATGACAAGAATATGGCTCTCTAAAATAAGATTTATAGTTTTGTATTGCTAGGATTAAATAACTTTGGGTAAAAGATTAAATATTTTATAAAGTCCTGTGGGTTAACCTGAATAGTTTTATTTTCAAAACAGAAAGTGAGTATCCATTGCTAGAACCTGTAAAAATTCCACCTAAAAGTATTTTCCTATCATTCTTCACTACAGCATGCAGATTAAACTGCTAAGCAAATAGCCCAACTGAACTCAAATCTAGAACTGTCTTAATATATATGATGTGATTTTTAAAATGCCTAACATAGTGACTGGCATATAGTAGATGTTCAAATTGATCTTCTTGTCTCCTTGGAAGTAACAGGATAAATGTTTTTTATCTATTTGTTTCAAGATAAATGGTTTCAGTTTCAATTTCCTTTTTACCAAATGGTAAAGTAAATTTTTACCCATTTTCCTTTTTATTAATAATATATGATGTTCATATATTAATAACACAAAAATAAGTTCAATGTAAGTGGTCAGACCAATTCTCTGCTATAATGGCTCAACTCAGCCATCTAGGCACAATACTTCAACAATATCACTTGCAGGAAAACCCAATACATTATCTAGTTATTTCAGTGACTTGGTTTTCTTTCCACCTTCTCTAGTCTACTACTGCAATACATTGCTCCACCCAGCGTGTGCTGTCCTTATCTTATGCTTTTAACTTTTCACCTTCCTAACTCTGTGATTTTGTTTGTTCTACTCCTTCTCTCTAAAATACTGTACTACAGGGCTACAGTAACCAAAACAGCATGGTGCTGGTACCAAAACAGAGATATAGACCAATGGAACAGAACAGAGCCCTCAGAAATACTGCTGCATATCTACAACTGTCTGATCTTTGACAAACCTGACAAAAACAAGCAATGGGGAAAGGATTCCCTATTTAATAAATGGTGCTGGGAAAACTGGCTAGCCATATGGAGAAAGCTGAAACTGGATCCCTTCCTTACACCTTATACAAAAATTAATTCAAGATGGATTAAAGACTTACATGTTAGACCTAAAACCATAAAAACCCTAGAAGAAAACCTAGGCAATAACATTCAGGACATAGGCATGGGCAAGGGCTTCATGTCTAAAACACCAAAAGCAATGGCAACAAAAGCCAAAATTGACAAATGGGATCTAATTAAACTAAAGAGCTTCTGCACAGCAAAAGAAACTACCATCAGAGTGAACAGGCAACCTACAGAATGGGAGAAAATTTTTGCAATCTACTCATCTGACAAAGGGCTAATATCCAGAATCTACAATGAACTCAAACAAATTTACAAGAGAAAAACAACCCCATCAACAAGTGGGTGAAGGATATGAACAGACACTTCTCAAAAGAAGACATTTATGCAGCCAAAAAACACAAGAAAAAATGCTCACCATCACTGGCCATCAGAGAAATGCAAATCAAAACCACAATGAGATACCATCTCACACCAGTTAGAATGGCGATCATTAAAAAGTCAGGAAACAACAGGTGCTGGAGAGGCTGTGGAGAAATAGGAACACTTTGACACTGTTGGTGGGACTGTAAACTAGTTCAACCATTGTGGAAGTCAGTGTGGTGATTCCTCAGGGATCTAGAACTAGAAATACCATTTGACCCAGCCATCCCATTACTGGGTATATACCCAAAGGATTATAAATCATGCTGCTCTAAAGACACATGCACACGTATGTTTATTGCAGCACTATTCACAATAGCAAAGACTTGGAACCAACCCAAATGTCCATCAATGATAGACTGAATTAAGAAAATGTGGCACATATACACCATGGAATACTATGCAGCCATAAAAAATGATGAATTCATGTCCTTTGTAGGGACATGGATGAAGCTGGAAACCATTATTCTCAGCAAACTATCGCAAGGACAAAAAACCAAACACCGCATATTCTCACTCATAGGTGGGAATTGAACAATGAGAACACATGGACACAGGAAGGGGAACATCACACACTGGGGCCTGTTGTGGGGTGGGGGGAGGGGGGAGGGATAGCATTAGGAGATATACCTAATGCTAAAATGACGAGTTAATGGGTGCAGCACACCAGCATGGCACATGTATACATATGTAACAAACCTGCACGTTGTGCACATGTATCCTAAAACTTAAAGTATAATAATAAAAAAAGAAAAAAAAGAAATAAAATAAAATAAAATACCATTCTAAACTGATTAGCCAGCAAATCCTATTAATTATTTACATCTATGCTCAAATACCACTTCTGCAACATGATCTTGTCCAGTCTTCCCAGATCACAATTAATACTTCCTTCCACTGATTCCCCAAATTTTTATACATAAATTATAGCTATTACTTTATTCTGTCATTTATGTTAATATTTGTATGCTTGCTTCCTTATAGTAACATCCTTAGCAATAGCTACAAGTTGTTTTTTACGTTCTCTTCACAATGCCTCATCCACTTGAGCTTGTAATACAGCAGTATTGATCATTCAAGGTTCAATGAAAGAATACAGGCCTTTGACTAAAAACTTGATGAAGAATATACACAAATTTATAGAAATGTATACACATGTGCTACAGTTTTCTAGTTTTTAAATATTATTGAGGACTCAAATGCACTGTTTTTACTTTCTTATTGTTATAAGAAATGCATAATATAAAATTTTAACATTTTTAAATGTACAGTTCAGTAGTATTAAATGAATTCACATTGTTGTACAACTATCACCACCATCCATCTCCAGAAATTTTTATCCCAAACTGAGACTGTGTACCTGCTGAACAAACACATATCGCTTTATTTTATAACAGCTATTACAAGAGATACTCTATGATTCTTACAACATTCATACATATTTCAGCTTCTGATAGTATAACAAATTCATATCAGCAATTGCTACTCATTAGGCATAGGTCACAAATAACTCCAAAATGGAAGCCAGAAAAGCTGTCTTTCATTTTGATGTTTCAAAATGTTAATATACATCTATAGGGACTATAACTTGGCATGGGCTAAAAACTCAGTACAACTCAAAAATGATATACCAGATGTTATTACAATATCTTTTAAAGCTCCTTATAAACTTACTGTGTCAGGAGCAAAGATATTACAATAAAAATGTTTTAGTAAGTGTTCTACATTATATATTTCTTTAAATTATAATTATACTTACAACTTCATTTCCATTCTCACATAAAAAGTTGGCTTAAGAATACAAGAAACTTTAACTCTGCTTGTAGATGTCAGAGTTCTACAAAGAAAGGTGACAAATACGCCAAGTGTTAAAGAAAGGATAAGAGTTACTCAAACAGTTTGAGGAGCAAATAATGCTAATAATGATGACTTAATGTAGGGTCAGGAAACAGAAATAAGTAGCCAGATAAGTACAAAAATGTGGACATGATTGAAGGGGAGAATGAGCAAGCTAATCCCTACCTTCCTGGAACATTATGCTGATCCTTTAGTCATGGAGTATAACCCTATGGAATTCTTATCTTTTAAAACACCTTATTCTCCCACAAAACTGAGAATACATGGACAAAATGAACTGTGTCTTTATTATTTAATATAACAGCTCCCAGACCTATCACTGTATTTAGAACATTGTGTGTAAAAAATAAATGTTTTTATAAGAATTGACTTATTAAGCATGGAAAAGAGAAGTATCTGGAATCTAACTCCTTTCGCTTCCCTCACCTTATGTCAGAGAAATTGTCAGGAAATCCATGAAAAGCATTTTAAGGGTGGTTGGACAGTACAGAGAAATAAAAGAACAGGAAAGGATTACCACTCAGTCATATATGTTCTAATTGTAAACAACATGATACATCTATGAAATAAAATTTCAGCTTGTAACTTATTCTTCCATTTCTTAAATGATATTGTAGTAATAATAATGATGCCGATAATAACAGCTAATACTTACTGCTTCCAGCATGCCTTTTACTGTTCTTAGACCTGACATGTACGAATTCATCTATTTCTCACACCTGTAATGTAACACGGTTATTATCCCCATTTTACAGATGTGGGGACTAAGATGTAGACAGGTTAAGGAAGGCAACCAGTCTTTCAGCCAGTTATTTGTGAAGTTGACTTTTGAACCCGTGCCCTGCTCCAGAGCCAATACTTTCAATCATTATCTTAAAGTGCCCTACAGTGTTAGAAATAAAATAATCCCTTTGCTTATGCTATTGTTCTTACTTCAAATGACTTATTTGGTTAAGAGCGAGGAGTTGTAAGATTGCAAATTTTTGGCCGGGCGCAGTGGCTCACGCCTGTAATCCCAGCAGTTTGGGAGGCCGAGGCGGCGAATCACGAGATCAGGAGTGCGACACCAGCCCGGCCAATACAGTGAAACCCCGTCTCTACTAAAAATACAAAAATTAGCCAGGCATGGTGGCACGCGCCTGTAGTTCCACATACTTGAGAAGCTGAGGCAGAAGAATCCCTTGAACCCGGGAGGCGGAGATTGCAGCGAGCCGAGATCACGCCACTGCACTCCAGCCCAGGTGACAGAGCGAGACTCCATCTCAAAAAAAAAAAAAAAAAAGATTGCAAATTTCCAACATAATCCCAACCTAAGACAAGACTAATTTGACATCCACTGACTCATTAAATCCTGCAGTTCCTGGAAATTATTCAAAATGCCAAAAATAATTAAATGGAAGCTATATTAAAATTTAAAAATGCATGCATACATAAATATCTTACCTCTCAACATGTATTAACACCATTGGAAACACCATAACACACTTAAAGTGTTTTCATTGGTAGATGAATTATGTTAATAAGCAAACTGAATTTTCCTGCCATGTAAATTGAGGTGGTTAATTCATTTTATTTTAGGAAATGTGGCTTAAGGTAGAGAAAGAGGTATCATGAATGTACACACATATATATGTATGTACACACACATTCCATACATGTACATGTTATGTACAACTATGGAAAAACACAATATTATTTTCTTCATTTTACAGATGAGAAAATTATATTCACATGGTCTGTTTTGCTCAGATTTACAAAGCATGTTAAAGATTATATGCTAGAGAAATCTAAATCATCCAGTTACCTCCAGCCTCCCAGTCTTCCCAGCTGAGGCTGCAGATTGGAGAATAAAGCAAAGCCACTCCTTGGTAAGCTTTGCTAAATTCTCAACTCATTTCCCCCAGCCCACAAGCATATTAAAATGACTGTTTTTAAGCTTTTACGGGTTGAGGTGATTTGTTACACAGAAATAGACACTAAAACAATATACAAGCAAAATAAAAGTTGCCGCTCACTCACATTTTAATAACTGTATGGAAATTGAGATTTTGACATATTCAGAAAACAGAATTTGATATTCCTTGCACAGTTTCTCAGCATGATGTCCCTCTTTCCAAAATTTTCATTATTGAAAAAGACAGTTACTAGAGGCTTTTCCTTTATTGAAATGGGAGAGAAATCACTCTTCATAATTTTAGACATCTATTTTGTTCATTGGAGTTTAAATCAATTTCTGTAATAATTGCAATGCTTATATCTTGGATTTTAAAGTAGATTTTCCCTAAATAATTCTTTGCATTACACTTCCATTTTTAAATTATGCGTCTATTAAAATGCAAATAACAATATTTTCCTTTATGAAATAGAGAAATGTAGAAATGTTCTACCACATAACAACTATTAACTTTTTTTTTCTTCACATTGTCACACAGGCTGGAGTGCAATCTCGGCTCACTGCAGCCTTGACCTCCCGGGCTCGAGCAGTCCTCCCACCTCAGCCTCGCAAATAGTTGGGACCACAGATATGCACCACCACGTCAGCCTAATTTTTGTATTTTTAGTAGAGACAGAGTGTCACCATGTTGCTCAGGCTGGTCTGCTGGGCTCAAGCAATCCGCACAACTCCACCTCCCAAAGTGCTAGGATTACAGGCTAAGCCACCGAGCCATTTTATACAATATTTTATGCATCTTTAGTTAAAGAGTTAAAAGTTTCTTTAAGATCTTTGAAATTATTTTAAAATACTGATCACTGTTGTTTTTTTCCACCAGTTTCTCAATTCTTAAATTCTATGTTCTTTTAAATAAAATTTTGACACGCTGAAATTTAATCATGTTCATATTTATATTGAATATATTTATTGTCAATTTCTTAGTTTTATAGACAAATAGATTTTATTATGGTAAATCCACATAGCATTACTTTTTTGAAAGTGCATAAAAATTAGCTCATAGATTAAGTCTTTCCTGGAATTGCATCACTTTGAAGATATTAAATAGATGCATCCTTCACCTTATTTAAATCAAATTTTCTTTCTTTTCAGCACATTAATTTCAATGTACATGAGGTATGAGAGTTTGCTTGCTTTTTAAGTTTTTTGATAAAACATCCTGGGGAGGAGGCCAGAGAAAGTGCCATGAGAGTTGGAGGGTTTACACAAAGTTCATTTACCTTTTTCATTGTTTCTTTGACTTTGAAATGTGCTCATTGATTTTCTACCTGGTGATTTCGAAGCTGTTGAGCAAACAGTAACCTGGTGTTTCTGTAAAGATGAAACTGCACTTAGCCATGCAAGTGAATGAATGTGAATGTCACATTCTGTTGAAAAGTTGTCTAAGTTTTCTCCTCAAAAGTTTGCACAACTTTTTTTGTATATTCTTGCCAAACACAAAGTTTACACAGTTGGCTGGGAAATAAAACCATAGAATATATAATACTATTAACACTATAATTTTTATATGAATATATTTATATCCTACTCAGGAAAATTATTCCTCTGTAATCTGTTTTTTTTCTCTTTGGTCTCATCTGACCTTTATTTATCAAATTGTGGATCATTAAGAAATAAATTCATTTAGACAGTTTTTATTAGCTTTTATTTATTGAGCCCTTGTTACAAGCCATGCACCACTCTGGGCACTTTACATATAGTAATCCAAAGTTTTACTATTACTTTCTTAGACAGGACCTATTGTGATCATTTTATTGCCAAAGAAACAAAGGCACAGACAGGTTACTTAAACTGTCCAAGGTCACATGTTGAGTAAGCAACAATGCCAGCCACTTATATGTAGATTATTGAAATGATACATTTACTCTAAATAAATTTCAAATTCATCCTCCATATTTGACAAGCTATTTAGCTAAAATATCTCTCCCATATTTAACAACTTTTATCAACAACTGCATTTTACTACTGTGGTGGATTTTAAAAGTTCAGCATGAAATTCAAGGCAAATTGGCCCTGCTGGCATTTCTAATCCCACTTTCCAACATTCCCCTACTCCAAAACTCCAGTTATTCCAGATTGTATAATTTTCCAACTGCTCCATGTAATTTCTTACTCTCATGACACTTTCTCTTTTACTCTATCTTCGTGGAATGTTCTTCCCCTTATCCTTGGTCACTTGTAAATATCTCTTCATTCTTTCAAATCTAGTTCAGGTGTCATTGCTTCCAGTAAACCATCCTTAAATTCTACTACCACCAAATAATTGATCAATCTTTCTACTATTTTTTTTATCTTGGGCATTATTGAAATATTATATGTTGCATTGTATTAGAATAATTTCATTATCCATTTTATCCCTACTAGCCAAAGTTTCCTTTTCAAGAAGGAGCCATGTTATTCATTTTTGTGTTCCTGGCTGTATTAGTCTGTTCCCACATTGCTGATAATGACATACCTGAGACTGGGCAATTTACAAAAGAAAAAGGTTAAATGGACTCACAGTTCCACGTGGCTGGGGAGGCCTCACAGTCATGGTGGAAGGCAAGGAGGAGCAAGTCATGTTTTACATGGATGGCAGCAGGCAAAGAGAGAGAGCTTGTGCAGGAGACCTCCTCCTTTTAAAACCATCAGATCTCATGAGACTTATTCACTATCATGAGAATCGCAAAGGAAAGACCTGCCCCCATGATTCAATTACCTTCCACCGGGTCCCTCTTACAACATGTGGGAATTGTGGGAATTACAATTCAAAATGAGATTTAGGTGGGGACACAGCCAAACAATATCACTGGCATCTAGGCTAGTATGAGATATATAATAAATGCTTGTTGAAAAAATGAATATGTAAAAATTAGGGCTTAAATCTTTAGTAAACTCTAGAAAACTTGTCAAATTTAATTAATTAAATGTAAATTTAAGATATGACATTAACACTACAGGTCGTTAATTCATTCTGTACAGAAAATAAATATTGTCTTACCAAGTAGGATAGGTTGTTTGTGTGGGGGAAGGGGGAGAATGATTGCTAGTCACAGAGTGTTTATTTCTTTTTTTTTGAGACGGAGTCTCACTTTGTCACCCAGGCTGGAGTGCAGTGGTGCTATCTCGGCTCACTGCAAGCTCCACCTCCTGGGTTCACACCATTCTCCTGCCTCAGCCTCCCGAGTAGCTGGGACTACAGGCGCCCACCACCATGCCCGGCTAATTTTTTGTATTTTTAGTAGAGATGGGGTTTCACCGTGTTAGCCAGGATGGTCTCGATCTCCTGACCTCATGATCGGCCCACTTCGGCCTCCCAAAGTGCTGGGATTACAGGCATGAGCCACCGCACCCGGCTACAGAGTGTTTATTTCTTAAACAAATAATATTATATCCAATTTTATAATGTAGTGTCATATTTACTAAGACAATTTAATCTCATGTTTTCTTTTGTCCAATTCAGAAAGGTGAAGGAAGCAAATAATTTTCCTCTTACAACAGGAAGGAGAAGAATATTAATAACTAATAACATTTGTGGCATGTTTACTACATAGCAGGTACTATACTCAAAATCAACTTATGTTAATAGCTACTTTCATTATCTCCATTTTATGGCTGAGTTATAGGAGGTGCAGAGAAATTAAATGAACTATAAGTGTTACTAATTTGAAAGCAGGTCTGTCTGATATAAATGATAAAAATATCTGAAAAAGGGTCAAGAAGCCTGTAATACGCTGATGCTGTTCCTCTGTGAGGAACTAGAGCCACAGGGATCTCAGGGACCATCTTTCTCATAGCACAAAATGCTGTGCTGTATCTTCCAAAATGTACCTTTCCTGTCAGCATTCTCATTGCTTACTTCTCCATGTCTGGGAACCTCCAGTCTCTGAGAAGCCCATGGCCTTTTGCAAGTGTACCAGATTATAATATATTATTTACTAAACCTGAAATGAATAAGCAGACTTCATTGTAGACACTCTGGACTATGCATTTGCTATCTTTTTCTTGTCTACTTACAAAAGTAATATATACTCATTGTAGAAAATAGAAACTAACACTAAAGAAAAACATCATTAATAATCCTATAAGCCAAATCTAAACCCTGCTACAATTTTGGTGAATAAGAAAGAGTGGGGAGGGGGTAAATTTTTTTAAACAGGAAATGAGGAAAATTCTATATACATTCTTTGGAAACTTGATTTTTAATTTATTATGTCCAAGTATATTTGCTCATGTTGTTGAATAAATTTCCAATTGCTTCAGTACATTCATAATTGCTAATATTTCTCAAGAATTTCTTTATCTGCTTGGCAATGTACTTTATAGTAGTACTTCTCACATATCAGTCTACCAGGACTACTTAAGGACCTATTGTGTTAATGTGGGTGAGAAAATGAAAGTCTGAATAGGATACTTTTACTGAGAATATTGAGAAATAGACCTGCTTGAATTTAGGAGTTAAGAGTGGCATTGTTGATGATGAACAAATCAAATAGTTGATTTGTCTGACGGGAGTGAAGAAAAGAGAGTAGTGAAGAAAAGGTGTCTTCCAAGGTGTCTGGCTATAGCAACTGAATGCATGGTAGTTCCATGCACTCTGAGGAGAGAATACTGGGAGAGGGCCAGACTTGGTAAGAACAAAGAGGAAGCTAGGTTTTGTGGAGCATGAAGCTTATGCAATTTGCCCACCTTATTTAAACCATGTGACTATGAACATATTGCTACATTACTTCCATGACATTGGAGGAAACCTGTGCTTATGAGGCTTATGTTTGAGCCTTATTGGTTAAATCTCCCACTTGATATGGAGTTCACTTTTGGACCTGTTGAATGCAAGGGACATCCAAATAGAGTTGTGCAATAAGCAGTTCAAAAATACAGAGATGTCTTATTTACAATTGCAAGCACAATGCTTGGCATGAAATAGCACACAGTGCTTAAGAATAGAATAAAGTAATTGTCTCAATACTGTCTTCTCATGATTAAGGAGGATGAATGGAAGCAGATTGCCTAGAAACAACTCATTCCATACTTCTGGACTGGGAAGAAATAAATGGTAATGAACAATTGAATGTTACCTCACAGAAAAGTACAAATGATAGCTGTTGCCCTGCCGAAGGGGGACATGTTGCCAGCCATGACAAAACAAGGCTCCAGCGTCACTCTTACTCCTCCAAAGGATGACTGGAGAACATTTACATTCATCCTGGTTTATGATTCCTCCATCTCTTCAGCCTTCAAATTAATTTACCAGAAAAACTAAAGAGTACTATAGTGGACCTTAAAAGTATTTTTCTCCTTTTAAAAAAATACCGAAGAATCAATATTTCTCTTGAGATTATGATGAGCCTTATAGCTTACTGGCTTTAGGTATATTAATTACTAGAAGAACATCTTGAAAGTTTACCTCTCTAATGCTCTACTTCTGAACAATTTGTTGTTAACTGTTATCTGCGAGGGAAAATAGACATGGTTTACATAGTGCCAAAAATGTGTCAGGCTCAATGAGAGACCAGATGTACTGCCAATTTGAAGATGGAGAATTCCAGACTCAGTTTCATTTCATCACCCAAGGGCATATACTAGTAAACAAGAACAGGAATTCAAAAGCAGGTTGTTATTATTGCCCTTGCTTATTCTCAAAGCCCATGCTCTTTCTAGTATATGAGGCTGCCTCAGCTCAAGATTTTAAGATTATTACTAATAAGAAATATTTATTGAGGAAAATGCTGGGAAAGGCTACCAACAGTGAAGAGTTTATTATCTCTAGATGTTGCCTAAGGGAGCCAGCAATAGGTCCTTCCCCAACTGTGTGGGCAGGTGAAGGACATGTCTACCACCCTATGCTCTGGGACTTGAGATGGTTGGAAGAAAGTCAGCAGTCATTTTTCTCCCTCCAAACTTTACCCTAACAAAGTTCTGATCCCAGAAGGGAAAGGATTGGCACTTTGACACACCATTTTTAGAGATTGCTAAAGATTAACAAGAACCCAATCAGAGTCACTCTGGCAGAGGTAACTAGCTGTTCACCTAAAAATTCACATTCCATCTTCCAGAAACTCTTAAGTGACAAACTGCTTAGCAAGAAACTCTATTTCCCAGTCCCACTGCAACAATATGCCATATGGGCATATGACTACTTTTTGCCTATGAAATCAGACTAGAAAGGACATGGTTTCAACGTACAGTGTATAAGAATCAGTTGGAGCATTTTCATTCTGGTTTCCTCTCACGGGTTTGATGCAGGGGACTCTGGGGGCTCTAGCAGATGACAGAACATCAAGTTAGCAGAAGCCTGAATCCCTAAATGATTATGTGGAAGAAATTCACCTAGTGGCTAGGTATGTCTATATTGCACTGTAAACTGGAACTATCGCACTATAAGCTTTTTTGGTGTTAATCACTGGTGGTTATGGCAGCTAATGTTACCCTAACTGATTCCCAGAGCCAAAAGAAACAATGAATACATCACCAATGGTAACGAGGAATAAACAGAACTGAAAGAAGCAATTATTGGCTATATTTATGCAAATAAACATTTGGCTGGATCACAGGAACCTGTGAGGGTGATATAATTCCAGGTTGAGTTCAGCTGAGGGCAAAGGCACCAGCTCAGATTAATCCTTGCTCAGTACAAACTAAAAGCAAACTGAATACTAAGCATTTTATCGCCCTTTCAAAATACTTAGCATGTGCTGTTCTCTCTGTGGACATGTCTCTGGCTACCTGAAGGCATCCAGCATGTGAAAAAACAACTCAGACCACACATTTTCCACCTATGTTCTTCGGGATGTGCTGGAGATGATATGTGAAGAGAAAGAGACTCAGCTTAAGACCCGACAATTCCGGTAACCCATCTACATACATAGTAGCCCACTTAGAATGTCATAGTGCCATTTGGTCACTCATATTTTAAATGTTTCCTCTAAGGAGTTGGCAGTAATAAATGAAGGCAAAGGTTAAAAGCAATTTCCAGACCCACCATGTCTTGATAATTCCAACTCTCGGTTGTCACTTATTGATCTAGCTGGCAGAACCAGAGTGTGCTCTTTAAACACATTTGTCCCTGTGTAATTGCTGTGCACACATTCTGTGCTCTGGAGGTATGGGATTGATACCCGTCCGTCAACTCTCTGGCAAAGAAGGAACTATAATCCCATTTCAGGGACTGAGCCTTGCCATCTTCTAAGGGTTCAAATGTGCCTTTATAGATATTTCACTGAACTAATAGGAATGAGAAGATATTATCTCACATTTGGCAAGTTGCTATGAAGTCATAACTTAAATTAAGCACAAGGCTGATGTTCTCACCATAAGACAGTAAGTTGCTTGTCTGGTTATTTGTTAGCTGAGCAATTCTGGGAAGAGAATGAAAAACATTTTGTTGATGAGAATCTGTATTCATCAGTTTTTGTACAAGACTAAGAACTCGGCATGCTTTTACATTGGAAATTTGGTAATTAATATCAGGTATGTGGTTTCATTTCATGGTTTTAAATTGTGCAATTCTTTCAGTTGCTAAATCTGTACCTGTTCAATGAGTTTTAAAAGGAAAACTCGTGTAAAAGGAAAATATGTTTTTTGTAAAAAATTGAAATGACAGAAAAGCAAAAATTGAACAAAATCATCCTTAGTACTACTTTTATCATTTTCTAGTTTTCCAACTAGGAGTTTTCTATACATATTTATACATGATTGAGAGTGTATGTGCACAAATATATTCATTATTCTTTTTACTAAATTTTTAAAACTGGTTTCTCACTTTGCTTTATTACACTGTCTTCAAATGTGTCAGGCTTGCAAGTAACTCACTTGCAGTTTCCTCTGCCATGGCTCTTCCTCTACCCATTCTCATGCTTTGCTCCTTCACCTACTTTAATTTTTATTCAAGTTTTACTTTCTCAATACCCCTTTTCTTCCTTTATTTTTATTTCTAGATTTTCACTATGCAAAGTATTATTTACTTTACATATAGAATGTTAGCAATGGATAAATAATATTATATCATGCTTATCTATTACACTTTAGCTCACCCTCTATGCTTCTGTTTATGTTGTTTCATATTTTATTGCAAAAATTTGTTGTTAATATTTAATTGGGGCTATGAGTGAGAGATAGACTTTTTCAGTATAAAAATCAGTGAGAAAAAAGATAGAAACCTACATGTTTGGTTAAATAAAAATAAAAATTTTTATATAGCAAAAATATCAAAATCTGAAAAAAATGACAAATTTTAGAGAATGTGGCTGTATTTATTTTGAATATAGAAAAATCAGTTTGCATTTCTATGTATTCATCTTTACTTCATAGATTGCTCCATCAATATTAAGCTCAGAACAATTCCTCTCTCCTTGGAAATTTAACAAATATTTATATTTATCTCATTTCATATTTCTTATGATTTGATTTTTTTCAATTTGCCCTTAGATGCATCCGTAAATTTAATTATTTGTTAGCTTGTGTTTGTTTTTAAATTACTAACTCTTGCAGATATCGGTTGTTCCTTACCTGTATCAAACTAATTCCCTCTTCCTCTGTTAACAGCATCCTGATTTTCCATTGGGGAGTAAGTCAACCTTCCTTGGATAGTAGCATAGGGACCTTTATTGTACATAAGTAACCTGGACTTGGACAGAGTCAATGAATTTATCCACGAATGGGTATCTGCCTTCAGTCCAGTGAAAATCAACCAGGTACTTCTGTACAGCCCGAGGGGGAATATGTCCTTTTCTCTGCCTGAAGTTGCCCATGGTCATGTTTGTGATTATACGGGGTAAACTGAGAATAAAATAATCACATACAAAAGAAGAATCAAAAAAATGAGATATGATCTTGATAACCTAATTTAAACTCTAAGTAATTCTCATAACAGGATTTAGTGAACATTCTAACCCTTTTCCAACAACCCATCCTGCTACATGCCTTTATCATAAAATAGCTTCATATATAAAAGCGTCATGTTAAAGTTAGTTTTACTTTTCCACTTATATAGATTTAAATATATTTTATTGAATTATTAAAACTTTACAAAGTTGGGGCTAATCCTAGCTCTTGTTTATACAATTTTAAAAATGATATTTGTTTATTTTCCAAAGAACTTTAAGAATTATAAATTACCCATTATAATGTTAATTTCAATTGTGTTAAATTTAGAATTTTTTTATTATACTTTAAGTTCTAGGGTACATGTGCACAACATACAGGTTTGCTATATATGTATACATGCACCATGTTGGTGTGCTGCACCCATTAACTCGTCATTTACATTAGGTATATCTCCTAATGCTATCCCTCCTCTCTCTCCCCACCCCATGACAGGCCCCAGTGTGTGATGTTCCCCTTCCTGTGTCCAAGTGTTCTCATTGTTCAATTCCCACCTATGAGTGAGAACATGTGGTGTTTGGTTTTTTTGCCCTTGCAATAGTTTGCTGAGAATGATGGTTTCCAGCTTCATCCATGTCCCTACAAAGGACATGAACTCATCCTTTTTCATGGCTGCATAGTATTCCATGGTGTATATGTGCCACATTTTCTTAATCCAATCTATCATTGATGGACATTTGGGTTGGTTCCAAGTCTTTGCTATTGTGAATAGTGCCGCAATAAACATACGTGTGCATGTGTCTTTATAGCAGCATGATTTATAATCCTTTGGGTATATACCCAGTAATGGGATGGCTGGGTCAAATGGTATTTCTAGTTCTAGATCCTTGAGGAATCGCCACACTGACTTCCACAATGGTTGAACTAGTTTACAGTCCCACCAACAGTGTAAAAGTGTTCCTATTTCTCCACAGCCTCTCCAGCACCTGTTGTTTCCTGACGTTTTAAGTAGGCAGGAATTTGCATTTGTTCTATCAGTCTTCTCAACATTCATTATTCATCTGTAGTTGTCAGTGAAATACTATAGGTCTTTTTAGAGAAGATGTAAACTTCCATTTAAAAGTATTTCTGAGTGTTTTATTAATAATATGAGTTTTTTCTTTCCTTATTTCTATCATTAACTGATTATTCTTGTTAAATGAGATTATTATTATTTTATGTAAAAAATTAATGTGAATATACATATGTAATATTTGATCACTCTATTAAAATCTTTTATTAGTCTGAGAGTGGCATTTGACTCATTTTCTAATTAGCATCATGGCACTAGGAGAGGAGTCACCTGTCCACACTGGCATCTTCTGATGTGGATATTATCTCGTGGACTTTGGGCTGGTCATTTTTCCTATGCTGTCACTAATGGAGATGTATGACCCAAGCTACTGCTGAACTGTAGTCATTCCTCCATACTAGCATCCCGTTAGATATACATGTTCCCATTCAACCTCTGGATATAAGTTCCATTATTCATCCTAAGACTGCATCTGTAAACCCATCCATGTACACAAAAACATCTCTATGGATAACACCGAGTCCATTTTAATGGAGCCCTTGGCAACCTTCAAGTGTTCTTTCACATCATTCAGAGGTCACAGAGATTACCTGGGGAAATGTTCAGATCTTTGCTTAGACATAACATCTCACCATTCCTACCAAAAGACTGTTCTGTCCAGTGTTAAGATAAAGGGGCAGTTCCAAGACCTTTCTCTCTTTTCTAAGATTCTATGTGAGAGTGAAAGCTTCTGCTACTTTCAGAGCCTTAAACTTCTGTGAATTCTATCACCAGCATTCTTGCATTTATTAGATGTAGAGTACAAAAATAATGGGGTCCTTCTTCAGAGCTCTGCACCACAGGCATCTCAATATCCTGATTAACCCCTCACTCCCCTTCTTCTCCAGATTTGAAAAGACTTTATGTAGCATGGTGGAGAGAAAAAAAAAATGAGTCTAAGAATTTTTTTTTGTCTTTTATGTGGACTAAAAAAGATAACTTAAAATATCAGCCTACTACCTAGGTATACAACCATCCTGCCTGAAAATGATAATATTTTACTTGTGGCCTAGCATCCTAACCCCGGAATATACAGATTCTTACAGCCTCTCAGCTGGAATCTGCTTAATCCTACTGAACTCCCGGGGGTAGGGGCAACCAGCACTGGCTGTGGCTGCCTAGTGTCTAAGCCATTTGAGTTCCTTGTGGGAGGGGCAGCAGCCAGCACTGGGACTGGCA
Organism: Homo sapiens; assembly: GCF_000001405.40. Classification (NCBI taxonomy): domain Eukaryota; kingdom Metazoa; phylum Chordata; class Mammalia; order Primates; family Hominidae; genus Homo; species Homo sapiens. The sequence continues at coordinate 40,102 of NW_019805503.1, forward strand.
ACTGCCTAACAAGCTAAGCTCCCTGGACGGGGGAACAGCGACATCCATTTGTATAGCTCCAGGCTGCGCTTTTCTCCTTCTGGAGCCAGGGAGGCTGAATGGCTTAGTCCCAAGACTTGTCCCCACAGCCCAACACACTGGCTGTGGCAGTCTGCAACCAGAGTGCCCCTTCAGGCCTAACTCTGACCCTTCCTTCCTCAGTGGGTGGGGCTTCCCCACAGGATCTCCAATAACTCCAGCCAGAGGCTCAGGGACAGAGTTCAGATCTCCCTGGGTCTGAGCCCCTAGCGGGGAGTGGTGGCCACAGTATCTGAGGACCAGCAGACTTACCCTCTCCTCCTTGTAGTTCTGAGGAATCCAGGAAGCCCCGATGAATGGGTTTCCCCCCAGAAAAACACACAAAGGGACAAAGTGCTTCATTAAACAGGTCTTGCTCCCCGTGCCACCCAACTGGGTGAGACGCTTCAACAGGGGTTGTCAGACACCCTATTCAGCAGCAATCCTGCTGGCATCAGGTTGGTGCCCCCAAGGCCTGAGGTCCCAGAAGAAGGAGCAGGCACCCATCTTTGCTTCTCTCCAGCCTCCGTGGAGTGACATCTCCAGGCATGGGAGTGAATCAGTTGAATAGGGCCTGAACTGAACCCCCAGCAAACTGCAGAAACCCTACAGAAGGGACCTGACTATTGAAAGAAAAACAAACAAGCAGAAAGTGACAACAGCATCAACAACAACAAAAAAGGCCCCCACAGAAACCCCATCCAAGAGTCAGCAGTCTCAAAGACCAAAACTAGACAAACTCACTAAGATGAGAAAGAATCAATGAAAAAAATGCTGAAAACCCAAAAGGCCAGAGTACCTCTTCTCCAAATGATCACAATGTCTCTCCACTGGGGCAGAGAACTGGACAGAGGATCAGATGGACGAATTGACAGTAGTAGGCTTCAGAAGATGGGTAATAAAAAACTACAATTAGCTAAAGGAGCATGTTCTAACACAATGCAAAGAAGCTAAGAACCTTGATAAAAGGTTACAGGAATTGCTAATTAGAATAACCAGTTTAGAGAGGAACATAAACGACTGGATGGAGCTGAAAAACACAGCATGAGAATTTCATGAAGCATACACAAGTATCAGCAGCTGAATAGACCAAGTGGAAGAAAGGATATCAGAGTCTGAAGACCACCTTACTGAAATAAGACATGCAAATAAGAATAGAGAAAAAAGAATGAGAAGGAATAAACAAAGCCTCCAAGAAATATGGGATTTCATAACAAGACCGAACCTACGATTGGTTGGAGCACCAGAAGGAGACCAGGAGAGTGGAAACAAGCTGGAAAACACTCTTTAGGATATTACCCGGGAGAACTTCCCCAAACTACCAAGACAGGCCAATGTGCACATTCAGGAAATACAGAGAACGCCATTAAGATACTCCGCAAAAAGATGAACCCCAAGACACATAATCATCAGTGTCATGCGTGTCCGTATGGAAGACCACCTAAACAGGGTTTGTGTGAGCAACAAGGCTGTTTATTCACTTGGGTGCAACTGGGCTGAGTCCAAAAAGAGAGTCAGTGAAGGGAGATAGGAGGGGGCAGCTTTATAGGACTGGGGTAAGCAGTGGAAAGTACAGTTAGAGGTGGTTATCTATTGTTAGCAGGGGAGAAGGTCACAAGTTGTATGGTGGGGAGATCATAAGACTCGTTGTCCAGAAGAAGAATGTCACAAGGTCGATTGATGAGTTGGGGCAGGGCAAGAACAAGTCATAATGGTGGAATGTCGTAAGGTTGGTCAATCAATTAAGGCAGGAGCTGGCTGTTTCACTTCTTTTGTGGTTTTTCGGTTGTTCCAGACTTCTTGGCTCCTGCAGGCCATGTGGACATATATGGGCAGGTCACAGGGGTTACAATGGCTGAGCTTTGGCTCAGAGGCCTGACAATCAGATTCTCCTGGAAAAATTATTAAAGGCAGTCAGAGAGAAAGTCCATGTTACCTACAAAGGGAAGCCCATCAGACTAACAGTGGACCTCTCAGCAGAAACTCTACAAGCCAGAAGAGATTGGGGGCCAATATTCAACATTCTTAAAGAAAAGAATTTTCAACCCAGAATTTCATATCCAGCCAAACTAAGCTTTATAAGTGAAGGAGAAATAAAATCCTTTCAAGGCAAGCCAGTGCTGAGGGATTTCCTTACCACCATGCATGCCCTGCAAGAGCTCCTGAAAGAAGCACTAAATAGGGAAAGGAAAAACTGGTACCAGCCACTGCAAAAACACCCCAAAATATAAAGACCAATGGCACTACGAAGAAACTCCATCAACTAGTGTGCAAAATAACCAAATAACACCATGATGACAGAATCAAATTCACATGTAAAAATACTAATCTTAAATATAAATGTGCTATTATGCCCCAATTAAAAGACACAGACTGGCAAATTGAATAAGGAGTCAAGAGCCATCAGTGTGCTGTATCCAGGAGACCCATCTTTCGTGCAAAGACACACATCAGCTCAAAATAAAGGAATGGAAGAAAATTTGCCGAGCAAATGGAAAGCAAAACAAAGCAGGGATTGCAATCCTAGTCTCTGACAAAACAGACTTTAAACCAACAAAGATAAAAAAAGACAAAGAAGGCCATTACATAACGGTAAAGGGAACAATTCAACAAGAAGAGCTAACTATTCTAAATAAATATGCACCCAATATAGAAGCACCCAGATTCATAAAACAAGTTCTTAGAGACCTACAAAGAGATGTAGTCTCCCACACAATAATAGTGGGAGACTTTAACACTCCACTGTCAGTATTAGACAGATCAATGAGACAAAACATTAACTATGATATTCAGGACTTGAACTCAGCTCTGGATTAAGTGGACCTAGTAGACGTCTACAGAACTCTGTGCCCAAATCAACAGAATATGCATTCTTCTGAGTTCCACGTGGTACTTATTCTAAAACTGACCGCAAAATTGGAAGTAAAACATTCCTCAACAAAGGCAATAGAACAGAAATCATAACAGTCTCTCAGACCACAGTGCAATCAAATTAGAACTCAGGATTAAGAAAATCACTCAAACACACACAATTTCATGTAAATTGAACAATCTGCTCCTGAATGACTCCTGGGTAATTAATGAAATTAAGGCAAAGATCAAGTTCTTTGAAACCAATGAGAACAAAGAGACAATGTATCAGAATCTCTGGGACACAGCTAAAGCAGTGTTAAGAGGGTGATTTATAGCACTAAATGCCCACATCAGAAAGCTAGAAATATCTCAAATCAACACCCTAACATCACAATTAAAAGAGCCAGAGAGGCAAGAGGAAAATATTCAAAAGCTATCAGAAGACAAGAAATAACTGAGATCAGAGAAGAATTGAAGGAGATAGAGACATGAAAAACCCTCCAAAAAATGAACGAATCAAGGAGATGTTTTTTTTTAAAAAATTAACAAAATAGATAGACCTCTAGCTAGACTAATGAAGAAGACAGAGAAGAATCAAATAGACACGGTAAAAAATGATAAAGGGGACATCGCCACTGACCCCACAGAAATACAAACTACCATCAGAGAATACTATAAACACCTCTAGGCAAAGATACTAAAAAATCTAGAATAAATGGATAAATTCCTGGACAGATACACCCTTCCAAGACTAAACCAGGAAGAAGCTGAATCCCTGAATAGAATAATAACAAGCTCTGTAATTGAGGCACTAATTAATAGCCTGCCAACCAAAAAAGTCCAGGACCAGATGGGTTCACAGCTGAATTCTACCAGAAATACAAAGAGGAGCTGGTACCATTCCTTCTGAAACTATTCCAAACAATTGAAAAGGAGAGACTCCTCCCTAACTCATTTTTTGAGGCCAGCATCATCCTGATACCAAAACCTGGCAAAGACACAACAAAAAAATAAAACTTCAGGCCAATATCCCTGATGAACATCGATGTGAAAATCCTCAATAAAATACTGGCAAACCGAATCCAGCAGCACATCCAAAAACTTATCCACCACGATCAAGTTGGCTTTATCCCTGGGATGCAAGGCTGGTTCAACATACACAAATCAATAAGCCTAATCCATCACATAAACAGAACCAAAGACAGGAACCACATGATTATCTCAATAGATGCAGAAAAGGCCTTTGATAAAATTTAACATCCCTTCATGTTAAAAACTCTCAATAAACTAGGTATTGATGGAACATATCTCAAAATAATAAGAGTTATTTATGACAAACACACAGCCAGTATCATATTTAATGTTCAAAAGCTGGAAGCATTCCCTTTGAAAACCGATATGCCCTCTCTCACCACTTCTATTCAACATAGTATTGGAAGTTCTGGCCAGGGCAATCAAGCAAGAGAAAGAAATAAAGGGTATTCAAATAGGAAGAGAGGAAGTCAAGTTGTCTCTGTTTGCAGACAAGATGATTTTATATTTAGAAAACTCCATCGTCTCAGCACAAAAACTTCTTCAACTGATAGGCAACTTCAGCAAAGTCTCAGGATATAAAATCAATGTGCAAAAATCACAAGCATTCCTTTACACCAACCATAGACAAGCAGCCAAATCATGAATGAACTCCCATTCACAATCTCTACAAAGAGAATAAAATACCAAGGAATACAGCTAACAAGGGATGTGAAGAAGCTCTTCATGGAGAACTACAAACTACTGCTCAAGGAAATAAGAGAAGACACAAAGAAATGGAAAACATTCCATCCCCATGGATAGGAAGAATCAATATTGTGAAAATGGCCATACTGCCCAAAGTAATTTATAGATTCAATGCTATTTCCATCAAACTACCATTGATATTCATCACAGAATTACAAAAAACTATTTTAAATTTTATACAGAATCAAAGAAGATCCCATATAGCCAAGACAATCCTAAGCAAAAAGAACAAAGCTGGAGGCATCACACTACCTGACTTCCAACTATACTACAGGTCTACAGTAACCAAAGCAGCATGGTACTGGTACCAAAACAGACATATAGACCAATGGAGCAGAACAGAGACCTCAAAAATAACACCACACATCTACAACCATCTGATCTTCAACAAACCTGACAAAAACAAGCAATGGGGGAAAGGATCTCCTATTAAGTAAATGGTGCTGGGCAAACTGGCTAGCCATATGCAGAAAACTGAAACTGGACCCCTTCTTTACACCTTAGACAAAAATTAACTCAAGATGGATTAAAGACTTAAATGTAAAACCCAAGAAGAAAACCTGGGCAATACCATTCAGGATATAGGCATGGGCAAAGACTTCATGACTAAAACACCAAAAGCAATTGCAACAAAAGCCAAAATTGACAAATGGGATCTAATGAAACTAAAGAGCTTCAGCACAGCAAAAGAAACTACCATCAGTGTGAACAGGCAACCTACAGAATGGGGGAAAATTTTTGCAACCTACCCATCTGGCAAACATCTAATATCCAGAATTTACAAGGAACTTAAATATGTTTACATGAAAAAAAACAAACAATCCCATCAAAAAGGGGGCAATGGATATGAACAGACACTTCTCAAAAGAAGACGTTTACATGGCCAACAAACATATGAAAAAAAGCTCAACAAAAACTGATCACCAGAGAAATGCAAGTCAAAACCACAGTGAGATACCATTTCATGCCTGTCAGAATGGCGATTATTAAAAAGTCAGGAAACAATAGTCACTGGTGAGGCTGTGGAGAAATAGCAATGCTTTTACGCTGTTTGTGGGAATGTAAACTAATTCAACCATTGTGGAAGACAGTATGGCGATTCCTCAAGGATCTAGACATAGAAATACCATTTGACCCAGCAATCCCATTACTGGGTATATACCCAAAGAAATATAAATCATTCTACTATAAATACACATGCACATGTATGTTTATTGCAGCAGTATTTACAATAGCAAAGACATGGAACCAACCCAAATGCCCATCAATGATAGAGTGGATAAAGAAAATGTGTTATATATAAACCATGGAATACTATGAGCCATAAAAAGGAATGAGATCATGTCCTTTGCAGGGACATGGAAGAAGCTGGAAGCCATCATCCTCAGCAAACTAACACAGGAACAGAAAACCAAACACCGCATGTTCTCAGTCATAAGTGGGAGGTGAACACTGAGAACACATGGACACAGAGAGGGAAACGATACACACCAGGGCCTGTTGAGGGGTAGGGGGTGAGGGGAGGGAACTTAGAGGATGGGTCAATAGGTGCAGCAAACCACCGTGGCACATGTATACCTATGTAACAAACTTGCATGTTCTGCACATGTATCCCATTTTTTTAGAAGAAATAGAAAAAAAAAAGTTGCGCATGTGTGTAAGTTATATCTACACATATATCATGATCATATATCTCATTTCTTATACATATTTATGGTGCATAACATTTCCATATCACATATACATATGCATATATATATCTTATACTTATATAAAATGTGTTTGTTTTTTTTTTGAGACAGAGTCTTGCTCTGTCGCCCAGGCTGGAGTGCAGTGGCGCAATCTCGGCTCACTGCAACCTCCCCACCTCCTGGGTTCAAGCGATTCTCCTGCCTCAGCCTCCTGAGTAGCTGGGATTACAGGCATGTGCCATCACGCCCAGCTATTTTTTTATTTTTAGTAGAGACGGGTTTCACCATGTTGGTCAAGCTGGTCTCGAACTCCTGACCTCGTGATCCGCCCACCTCGGCATCCCAAAGTGCTGGGATTACAGGCGTGAGCTACCGCACCCGGCCTAAAATGTTTTGAAATAGCTTCACGTGCAAATACGTTTAACATTTTTAAATGCAGGAAGGTATATAGATGAAATTAAAATTCATTTGAAATCGCACCACTGAGACAAAGAACCACTATAAAGATTTGAAGAACACCACTCCATCTGTCTATGCATATATTATTTTAACTCATTTATATGTATATATGTATGATATATATGAATATATATTATTTACTTTATATATGTATTTATATAAAATATTTTCTCTATATATGTATATATTTAATTATGAGGTATATATTATTTAAACCTCAATCTTATCTATAAAATAGAGATCACATTACCTAACTTAAAGGGTTGTTAATAAAGATGAAGTAACACACGTAATTGTCTCAACGTAAATAGATGTCCTTTTCTCTTAAAATTGTTTCCATATTGTCTAAGCCTGCATTATTTGTCTTTATAGTTCTGTCAGTGTTCTGTGTTTATCTGCTCATTATTCCACCTTGTAATGTTTCACTTGTCAGTTTCCCTTAAAGACTATGTCTTGTTCACTGTTACATCTCTCAGTGCCAGGCAGAAGGAAGACACTTAATAAACATTGTTAAAATAGATGTTTTAAAACATTACATTAAAACACCTGTATATCCTAGGTTGTTAATAACTTGTTGCTGAACATGAATATAATCCAGCCACTTTATACAACAGATGTGGAAACTCTCCAGACATATTTAATTACTTCTCAAGGTTAAATTTGGTTCATGCTTCTTGTTTAGAGCAGGAATTATAATTATCATGTAATTAAAAGGTATAATATTAATTATTAAATGACTTTATACTAGTGATGAGATTATCACTCGGACTTCTGCTCAGGGTGCCCTAAATATTTCTTGGCGATAGAATGTTCTATAACTTCTCAGCATATTTCTGTGCATACATGCCATCTTACGGCTTTGGTGATGAAGTTTTCATAGTCTTTTTGGAACTTCGAGCTTTAGTTCTCTTACTAATGGCAATGAGGCTTCCTTGTATTTTCTTCTTCTTTCTCAAGAATGTACCATTTGTCAGGTTTCAGCATCTCTACCCAAATCTACTCCTCTGAATACTAAAATGTCCTTAAAGAAATGGATTTTAAAACTACTACTACCTTTAATTAATACATATATAGACTACTATGAAATCAAAATGGTTTCTAAAAGTTCAAAACTTGAAAGGGTCATCTGACATCCAACTAATACAACAGAAGAGATTTTAACCAGTAAGTAGTTCCAGTGGGTTATTTGAAGTTTATAGCTTTTGTCCCTTATACAGTCTCCACTAGACAACCCCAAGACACTTGAAATAAACAATTCAAGTGTGCTTGCCACTGAAATCAGCTACAAAGCAATTCACCTACCCAAACTTTCCAAGCCAGCTGCTCACCTCAAGCTCTGACTTTATGACAATTACAGGGCTGCCTGTAGGTTTGCAGATGCTTTGAACTGGACTGTTGCTGACAAGGACTTCTTGAAACACATATCTCATCAGCCTAGTTCTGTGTATATGTGTGTGTGTGTGTGTGTGTGTGTGTGCGCGCGCGCATTTGTGCGTACATGTGTGTATAGTGATGTCTCTAAAGATATGGAAAAGTGCCATGAAGTCTTGAGTAGACAGGATACAGATGGTTTTTCTAGTAATTGAGAAAATAGAGATAGGGCTTAATAAATTATAAGAGAAAAGGGACTGAAAGTCATAATGGTAATTAATTTTGTTTGTAGGTGTGGTTTCTGCCAGATTTATTTTGGTTTGTTTGGTCTTTTTGTGGCCAGCAAGGAGCTCAATATTATAAGAAAATGAATTTAGGGTCTCCATTGTTATCCTTCTTAGGCTCACAGCCCTCTTTCCAAATTTGTATTTTGGTCATATTCTTGAAGAAAACAACAGGGGAGAAAGTAACACCTGAACAGGTCAGCAACAATCACCACACTATTATTACAGTATAGCAATGTCTCCTAGTGTCAAGAAAAGCAATTTTCCTCATATCTCTTCCCCCCCGACCCCGCCGAGACGGAGTTTCACTCTTAAGCCCAGGCTGCAGTGAAGTGGCCCGCGGTCTCGGCTCACTGCAATCTCCGCCCCCTGAGTTCAAGCGAGTCTCCTGCCTCAGCCTCTGGAGTAGCTGGGATTACAGGCACCAGCCACCACACCCGACTAATTTTTGTATTAATCCAACACTTTTTTTCACTAGATTCTCCACAACTTTCTACCGAATTGAATGCAATAATATATAGACAGAATAAACCTAAGGTCATGAGGATGGAATCAATAAATGAACACAAGGTATAATGAAGATAAAATAAGTTGCCGTGTATATAATGGTCATATTTGGGCATTCCACCATAGCATAGATAGTTGACAACTGAACGACTTCCCATCTGACATTGTATAACTCATATTTTCTTTTATAAATATGCTAAAGCAAATCCCTAGGATTGCAAACTAAAACAAGTGTTTTTGTCTAAATTTGTCAAGAAAGTGTCATATGATATTTAAAGAAACTAAAAGGTTATATTAGGTAATTATGTTAACCTCATTCTATCATAACACTTCATATTGTCTCTGATTGTATCTTATTTTTATTCAGACATACATCATCCAGTTTACATAGAATTAGGGTCTGTAATATCATAAAGCATATTAAATGCATTTTATGAAGCTAGTTTATTTTTACCAGAAATAGTTGTTTAAAAAAGTTCATTGCAGACACATGTATGTAATCTGTCTCATGCTAATGCCTGCATAATATTTCCTTTTATTAATCCAGTGTGTTATTCTTCTGTTGTTGGATGTTAAGAACAATGAAAATATATTCTCATTGTAAATAACACTATAACAAATCAATTTGCATACATTTTTTTCTGAATTATTTACATGAAACGTATTTTTCTTATAAGTTATCTAATTAAATTAGTTGAATGGCTAGAGCAATGCCTATATTTTTCTTTGTATTTTTTCTTTCATTCCTGTCCCATAGGCCACATTCTGAAGGCTTTCATATGTTTTCTTTTGCAATATGTTTATTTTTAATTTAGAAAAAGTTTATCAAGTTTCTCATTATATCCAACTGAAATCTTGATTAGGATTGTATATTGGTTTCTTACTGTTTTAGCCGCATCTTACAAGCACTGGTCTGTAGTGTTTTTGTTATCAATCACTTGTAAATATTTTTTTAAATTTCCATTAGCATTTTTTTAGCGAGTGAGTTATTTAATAATACATTTTCTAGCTTAAAAACCTATGGAATATTTTAGTTATCTTTTTGCTTTAATACGTAAGTTTATAGTATTTTGCAAGAAAGCATATGCTCTGTTATTCATACTTTGAAGTTAATTGAAACTTCTTTGTGGTTTAACGAAGAATATATTTTGTTAATATATTAATCCTGCTAAAAATGTTTATTCTCTGTTAAATGTAGAATTTTACATATATCTAATAGATTAAACTTATTATTTATGTCATTTGATATCCTAGTATTAATGCTTAAGTTTCATCTTTTTGTACCTTCAGTTTATGAGAGGATTGCATTAAAGTTTCCAAAGCAATTACTGACATGCACGTATTACTACTTGCAATTATATCAGTTGATGCTTACTATGACTTGAGGATGTATAATTTGTGCATATATCCTGTGATATTTATTTCTAATTTTTCTCTCTTTATATATACAATATCCTTTCAACTTACACTGTATTTATATCGTATTTTGCTTTAAATTTTACTTTGTCATATAAGATTGTTACCCCATCTGTCTTTGTTTATATTTATATTTACCTGGTATAATTTTTCAATATTTGATTTTCAACCACTATTATAGTTTTTTATCAAAATATGTCCCATCGGTATTATTGTATCTTGTGCAGTTTAAATAAAACCAAATAATTACTGTCTTTGAATTGATGTTTAACCCATTTATATTTATTTAAGTTATTGTTATTTTAAAAATCATTCTTGTTATTTTAGTTCACACTTTTTATCTATTGTATCTTCTAGTCCTCTTTTTCCTTCATTATCACTTTCTATTGATTGATCAAGTTTTCTTTTGTTGGACATATATATATATAATAGAAAAAATATTAGTTATATGATTTATTTTGTTTTATTTATTTTTGATGATTTCTTAAACATCATTATCCTCATTTTCTTCCTATAATGGCAAGAATTTAAATGATTTTGGGCACAGATCCAGTATAACAAGTATATATTTGCACCAGAGAAATATGTACGAGAAAATTTTAGCAGCTTTTTTTCTTGCATAGTAGCAAAAACTAGAAACAACCCTAATGACCATTAAGAGTATGATAAAAAAGATTTGATATATTTATACATAATAGTATTTCATAAACTGCTATGTACAGTAAAATAATAAATAATACATATCTTAGTCTGTCCAGGCTACTATAATAAAATACCTTAGACTGGGTAATTTATAAACAACAGAAGTTTATTTCTTGCAGGTCTAGGTGCTGGGAAGTCCAAGATCAAGCTGCCAGCAGATTTGTTGTCTAGTAGTCTTGCTCTCTGCTTTATAGGTGGTGCTACTTGCTGCATCCTCACATGGCAAAGGAGTCAAAGAGCAAAAGAAGGCCTAAAAGACTTGCTTAAGTCCTCTTATAAGGGCAGAGCCCTCATGATCTAATCTTCTAGGGAAGTCTCTACCTCTTAATACTATTGCATTGGGGATTAAGTTTCAACATGAATTTTGAAGGGATGCAAACCTTCAAACAATAGCAATATATAAATAATAAATATGATATAATATAACTAAAATATTAAATAATAAAGATACATATCAATAATAATTTTTAGAACTACAATGAATAACTTTTAGAACTAATGTCTGAATCTTTCCATGTAACTTTGAGCTAAACATACCAGATGCAAAAGGGAATGACTCTACCTACGTAGGGAAGTTCAAAAACAGCCAAAAGTCAATTACTGACCTTTCTGGGGAGAGTAGCCCAGGTTAGGGCAGGAGGAAGGCTTCTGGGTGTTGGTATTGTTTGTTGCCTGGACCTTGATGCTGCTAATGTTCTCTGTCTTGATCTGAAAAGTACTTACCTTGGTGATTGCTGAGTTGCATACTTTTTATGTTTTATAATATGCATGCAATTTTTCAGTAAAAAGTTAAGAATAAAAGCTTGCCTCTGGGCCACGTGCGGTGGCTCATGCCTGTAATCCCAGAACTTTGGGAGGCCAAGGCAGGTGGATCACCTGAAGTCAGGAGTTCAAGACCAGCCTGGCCAACATGGTGAAACCCCATCTCTACTAAAAATACAAAAATTAGCCGGGCATGGTGGCGTGTGCCTGTAATCCCAGCTACTAAGGTGGCTGAGGCAGTAGAATCACTGGAACCCGGGAGGCGGAGGTTGCAGTGAGCCGAGATTGTGCCACAGCACTCCAGCCTGAGCAACAGAGCAAGACTCTGCCAAAAACAAAACAAAACAAAACAAAACAAAACACCTTACCTCTGGCCAGCCCTGTCCTTGCTGCTTCCATTTCCCTCTTCTTTTGCTGCCTTCAGCCACTCACACTCCAGACATAAACTGCCCAAAACACACTCCATGCTCTGAAGAGCTTGCTTAGATTTTTGGTTTCTTTCTGGCATTCGTATTTCCCTTTTGTTTCCCCCGTTGCTCCAGGATAGGATTTTATGGAGGAAGTCAATAGCTTCTGCTTGTTTATCATCACCGAATTAACCAGCAGCTTCCTCAAGTGAGTCTTATAAACACTTGTAATGGCCTTTGATATGCCAAATTGCTTTTGAAAATGGCCATTCTACAATCTGTGCAGCAGCACTACAGATTTAATGCACTATCACTAGCTTTTGGTGACATATGTCACTTTAAATTGCATGCCTTGTAAATTATCCCTCAATTTTGCTTTAATTTGCAATCATTGCAACAGTAGCAAAATTAAACAATGTCTGTTATTTGCATTTGCTTTTCAGTCATTTTGCTGTTCATGTTTTTGCATATGCATTTATTAACATCATGATGTTGTCCTTATTACTGGGATTAAACATTTAACACTATTTAGATATTCTGTTTCTTCCTACTGATAGAATAAATGAAAACATTTTGAAATGTTATGAACTCAAATGTAAGATTAAGTAAACCAGACCACCTGTCTGTCAGGAGCAGGGAGCAAGGAATGTGATATTTTAATTACTGAAATCACACATGCCTCTACATCCACGAACTACAGACATCATATATAGTTTATTCAGCTCAGAACCTCATTTTTGAGTTAATGGTGCTTTTGTTCAGAAAGGAGTAAGACAGTGGGAGTTCCTACTTTCTCTGTAGTCTCACTTTACTTGATGCCATGTTGGCACTGGGGCATCTGTCAAGTATAACAGATGTCGGGAACAGAAAATTCTCTGTGACCAAGTTTCAATCTGTTATTTACATATGCTGCTAAGCACACTGATAGCAGTTTCATTTCAACAGAAGGAAGACAATGTATCTCACCTGCAAGTGTATTCTCCCTTTAGCTCCTTGAGGGCAGATAGCAGTTGATTTTCTTATTGCTATTCAAGAAAATACAAAGAGAATAATTTCCACAAGAAATTCATAGCTCTGATTGTTTCCTAGTAAGACATGATGTTAAAGTGAATTTTTTAAATCTTCACAATGTTGAATATACAAGAGTATCTTCTTCAGTTGCATTGTAAAATTAGGTACATGTGGTGCTAATCTTATGGAGCAGGTTTTTTAGAATCTTAGAGACAACTTGTATAATGACATGGTTTGTTATTACCTGGTTTTGTAGTGACTTAACTAAAATATAGGCATACTTCATTTTGTTGCACTTCATTTTATTGCTCTTGGCAGATGTTGAGATTTTTACAAATTGAAAGCTTGTAGCAACCCAGAATCAAGCAAGACTATTGGTACCATTTTTGTCAACACTATGTGCTCACTTGGTGTCTCTGTGTCACATTTTGATAATTATCTCAATAGTCCAAATTTTTCATAATCATTTTATCTATTGTGGTGATCTATAATCAGGGACCTTTGATGTTACTATTGTAGATGTTTTGGCCATCATGAACCACACCCATGTAACACGGCAAACTTAATAAATGTTACCTGTGGCCGGGCGCGGTGGCCCATGTCTGTAATCCCAGCACTTTGGGAGGCCGAGGCAGGCGGATCACGAGGTCGGGAGATCGAGACCATCCTGGCTAACACGGTGAAACCCTGTCTCTACTAAAAATACAAAAAATAACCAGGTGTGGTGGCAGGCGCCTGTAGTCCCAGCTACTCTGGAGTCTGAGGCAGGAGAATAGTCTGAACCCGGGAGGCGGAGCTTGCAGTGAGCCGAGACAGCGCCACTGCACTCCAGCCTGGGCAACAGAGTGAGACTCCGTCTCAAAAAATAATAATAATAAAATAAATAAATAAATAAATGTTACGTATGTTCAGACTGCTCCACTGTTCCCCACCTCTCTCCCTCTCCTTGGGCCTCCCTATTCCCTGAGACACAATAATATTGAACTTAGACCAATTAATAACCCTACAATGGTGTCTAAGTGTTCAAGTGAAAGAAAGAGTGCCATGTAATGCACTTTAAATTAAAAGCTGAAAACGATTAAGCTGGGTGAGGAAGGCATGTCAAAAGGTGAGATAGGCTGAAAGTTACGCCTCTTGAGCCAAACCACCAAGTTGTGAATGCAAAGGAGAAGTTCTTGAAGGAAATTAAAAGTGCTACTCCAGTGAATGCATGAATGATAAGAAAGTCAAAACAGCTGCATTGCTGATATGGAGAAAGTTTCGGTTGACTGGATAGAAGATCAAACCAACGACAACGTTTACTTAAGCCAAAGCCTAATCTGGGGCAAGACCCTACTCTATTTAATTCTATGAAGGCTGAGAGAGGTAAGAAAATTATAGAACAAAAGTTTAAATCTAGCAGAGGTTGGTTCATGAGGTTTAGGAAAAGAAACTCTCTCCATAACATAAAAGTACAAGGTGAAGCATCAGGTGCTCATGCAGAAGCTGCAGCAAGTTATCCAGAAGATCTAGGTAAGATCATCGATGAATATGGCTACACTAAACTTCATCACTAGATGAAGCAGCATTATATAGGGAGAAAATGCCACCTAAGACTTTCACAGCTAGAGAGAAAGTCAATGTCTGGCTCAAAAGTTCAAAGGGCAAGCTGACTTTCTTGTTAAGAGCTAATGCAACTGGTAACTTTAAGTTGAAGACAATGCTTGTTTACTATTTGGAAAATCCTAGGGCCCTTAAATATTATGCTAAATCTACTCTGCTTGTGCTCTATAAATGGAATAATGAATACTAGATAACAGCACATCTGTTTACAGCATGGTTTACTGAATATTTTAAGCTACTGTTGAGACCTACTGCTCAGAAAAGGAAATTTCTTTCAAAATATTACTGCTCATTAACTATGCACCTTGTCATTCAAGAGCTCTGATGGAGATGTACTAGGAGATTAATGTTTTCATGCCTGCTAACACAAGGTTCACTCTATAGGCCACAGATCTAGGAGTAATTTTTACTTTCAAGTCTTATTATTCGAGAAACACATTTAATAAGGCTATAGCTGCCATAGATAGTGATTCATCTGAAGAAATCTGGAAAAGGCAATTGAAAACCTTCTGAAAAGTATTCACCATTCCAGATGCCATTGTGACCATTCATGATTCATGGGAAAAGGTTGAGATATCAACATTAACAGGAGTTTGGAAGAAGTTGATTCTGACCTTCATGGATGACTTTGAGGCTCAAGATCTTTCCTGAAGAATGTTCATATTCATGCCTCTAGTTTCCCAAGTTGGATAAAGTTCATGTCTATTATAGCAATGCTTCATTTTACTTTCCACTTCTGTTTTCATTTCTTCTTAATTTCTGTCATCTGTGTGTTTTTCTTTCTTGCTTGCTAGCTCAGCCATCATTTTTAGGTCATGAGTGGGTTTTCAAGTTATACTCCGATATTTTCATAAAACTACAGTTTCTCTTCTTCCAATTTGCTGTTTGTTATGAATCTAAATTATTTCCCTACTATTGTTTCCTTTGTGTCAAATTTGTGACCCTTTCTAATTTTTTTATCAATCTTAAATTCTACATGCTTACTGATTACCTTCTTGAAAGTGAGAGAAAGGCCAAGGAATAATTGAGCCCGTATAAACTTTGGCCTCAGGCAGACATAGGTCCACAAACAGTTCTACCATTCGTAAGTGTTTGACTTTGGATTTCTTAGGTAAATGCAAAGCAATACAGGACTAAACCATTAACTCCACATGCCAATTTTTAACTATCATTTCTGACTTTTTCCTTTCCATATCATAGAAGTTGAGTTTTCTAGTCGGCCGTCTTTTATTCCTCTAGACTAACCAATGAAATTTCAGTTCTTAGCCTTGAAACTATGTCTTTCTAATTGCTAGTTTAAAAGAAAAGCTACAGGCCGGGCGCGGTGGCTCACGCCTGTAATCCCAGCACTTTGGGAGGTCCAGGCGGGTGGATCACGAGGTCAGGAGATCGAGATCGTCCTGGCTAACACGGTGAAACCCCATCTCTACTAAAAATACAAAAAATTAGCCGAGCGTGGTTGCAGGCGCCTGTAGTCCCAGCTACTCGGGTGGCTGAGGCAGGAGAATGGCGTGAACCCGGGAGGCGGAGCTTGCAGTGAGCCGAGATCGCGCCACCGCACTCCAGCCTGGGCGACAGAGCGAGACTCCGTCTCAAAAAAAAAAAAAAAAAAAGAAAGAAAGAAAGAAAAAAAGAAAAGCTACAGAAGGTAAGAAAAAAATTACCTCTTAATCTGCATCAAAGAATTAGTCTTAAAAAAATTAAACCCAATAATGAGACTTTGTAAAACAAACAAACAAACAAAAAACCAGACTTCTGATATCACTGTTGTGTCTTATTAAATTAACCTTTAATCTCTAAGGTGTGTAATTCCAACTGATTGCTTTACTCAATAACATAGTGTCCTGAAATGATATTTAAATGAACATCTTTATTTTCTCAAAAGTATAAATACTTTTCTTTTCTCAAGGTATAAGTAATTTTCTTTGAAGAGGCATAAGTTAGTTAATCATTGGGGTTTTTTCTCACATGCATAGAGAGAAAGAAATGAAATGACACATTATATTTCTTACTTAAATAGATTTTGAGAGTCTTGTCTAAAATTGTATCATCTATACATTGAGAAAATAATTAGCTTTCACATGGAGCAATTAGATGATAAAATGATTAATTGATAGAATGCCCGTGAAGCACTTGGCTCATAGTAGCCTTGTGATAGATGCTACTTCATCCCCAGACTCAATGCTGTATCTTTCTTCTCTGACTTCTAGGTCATTATTTTTTCCTAGCTATCTTTTCTTGTTCCTGACCATTTATGTGCCTTTTGTTTTTGCAAAAACCTCTTTTCCTTTCTTCTGCTAAATTGTATGTGTCTTTCAAAAGATGGCATTGTTTTGGCATACTTTTTTTTCTCTTATCTCTCCTCAGAAAGATAATACATTCAAAGCTATAGTACAAGGTTGTTGTGAGGAATACATGACAGCTCCTAATCTGTGTGGGTTCTAAGCAGTTGTATCGTTTTGTATCTGACACTCTATTTGCTTATTTACATGATATCACTGAAAGAGGTGGCTTAAACAGATAAGTATTCAGTAATGAAATTTAACTGATAACAAGGTCTTTCAATGAAGCAGGTTTTTTTTGTCATTTGATGTACAAAACATCCAATAGGGATAAAAGGAAAAGAAGTCTATTTTTGTTTTCAGATGAAGTGTAATAAGGTATAATATTCCTTCACCTTAGATCTTTACCTTCATGATGAAAACCGCTTCTGGATAGAACTTGATTAAGTAGCTGTAAGATCTTTGGAAACTTTATGAACTTAGACAGTTGTGAAATGGACAATGGTAGTCCTCCCTCTGGTGATTCTAAATAATTAATATGAATTTAAAATGTATTTTCTAGTCCTTAATTTTTTTCTCAGCTGGGGATGCGAAGTAAGTATTTTAAGGCTTTAATATATTCACCTTCTGGAGAGGTTGCTGATTTCTTTTCCCATAAATTATGTATCAGTACTTTATTATTGATTCTGAAATTAAAATCTGTAAAATTAAAAAACAAAGCTATCAATCACTGTATGACACTAAAATGAGTAATGACACTAAAAATGACAAAATCTTAATATTTAATAAATCAATAGCTGTATTATCAGACTGAGTTATTATTTGCCAAACAACTCTTTAATTCTAAAGCATACTTATTCTTGGGTGAAATCATCTCAGAAGTATATTCTATGCATATTTGATATGTAAAAGCACAGGGAGCTGCAATGTAGGGAAAAGACCAAAAGTTTAAATAGAATGTGTTGAACTTATCCAGTCTCTTTATCTTTCTAGACATGCCCTTTTACATAGTCATGATATTGAGTGCAGCAAAAAAAATCCCTCCTGAAATACACACAAAGGCAATTTTAAATGCAGATAATCCAATCTTTGCTTAATTGGATGTTGATAGCATTAATCAATTGTTCATAATTGGGAGTTCACATTAGAAACACCTGGACAATATGTTTTTAACATATTCATCATTAGAATTGATATCTAGGGGTTTTATTTACTCAGTAGGTTTCCAATGGTGTTTAGGCAAAAGTATTTTGAAACAGCTTCCCATATGTTCAATTTTGTACCAAAGATTAAAAACATATATAAAATTATTATTTCAGAACATATGTCACTGCTGGTAAAATGGTTTATTCTGATAAAATGGTTTATTTTGAAAGGGAGCAGTGAATATTGGATTAGATAACCATGAGTATGTTCTTGTGTTCTTCAGGGGCAATATTAATACCCATCCGGATTAGCCTCACAATAAGAATATTAGCCTAGTAAGAAGACTGAAGTGGAAGGATCGTTTGAGCCCAGGAGGTTGGGGACAAAGTGAGCAGTGATTGCGCCACTGCACTCCAGCCTGGGTGACAGAGACAGACCCTGTCTCAAAAAAAAAAAAAAAAAGAATAACTAATGTGTGGGTGTGAATAAGTATTGTGCAGGTGTTTCTACACTATTCTCATGGTTTTATAAGTCAGTAATACTTTTCTTTAAAACTTCTTCTGTAGTTATAGTTCAAAATCTTAACACATTATAAAAATGTAATATTGGCTTTGCATAAGTAGAAAAATCAACAAGTAAATATTTTTTGCTTACCTGATTCATTGGCCTTCATGTCTGTGATACTCAAGTATATGATTATTGTAGTGATCTGAGAAATGGCATGTTTCATATGCAATTTCTTTAATCCACATCCCTAATTGAATTTTTTCTCCTCCTTCAAAGAGGTAAACAGTATAATAATTTAGAGTTTTTCTCATACTTTTTAATATATTTACTACATATGCATGAATCTGTAATCAATATATAGTAATGCTTTTCATACTTTTAAACTTCACTTAAAAGGGACTGTATATGCGTCTTTTTGAAATTTACATATATTTTTCTTTCTTTCTTTCTTTCTTTTTTTTTTTTTTGAGACAGAGTCTCGCTCTTTTGCTCAGTCTGGAGTGCAGTGGCACAACCTGAGCTCGCTGTAACCTCGCCTCCTGGGTTCAAGTGATTCTCCTGTCTCAGCCTCCTGAGTAGCTGAGACTACAGGTGCACACCCCCACATCCAGCTAATTTTTTGTATTTTTAGTAGAGACAGGGTTTCATAATGTTAGCCAGGCTGGTCTTGAACTCCTGACCTCAAGTGATCCCCATACCTTGGCCTCCCAATGTGCTGGGATTACAGGTGTGAGCCACCACACCTGGCCTGCAGTTTATATTTTTATCCCAAAGTATGTTTGTGAGATTCGTCTTCATTAGTAGAGCTCTAGGCCATCATTATCACTGCTATTTATTATTCACTAAATGGATAGTCTTTGATGTGTATATTCATCTTTCTGTTAACAGATAATTAGTTGTTTTTTTTTCCATTTTTCCTATTAGAAACAATGTTGCAGTAAGCATTTTTGCATATCTCTAGGCTGTACACATGGAATTGGATTTCTTGAGTCATGTGATATGGGTGGCTTCAGCTTTATCAAATATAAGCAATCTGCTCTTTCCCGAGGGATGCACAATTTATACTCACCAGCAGTGTGTAAAAGTTCATATTGATCCACATCTACTCAAACACTTGTATTGGCTGACTTTAAGTCCGACCAGTTGGATGAGAATGAAATAGTACCTCATATTGCTTTGATTGCCAAGGCCCCTGACTGCTAGTGAGGTAAAGTACATTCAATACATTTAATCATTATTTGTGTTTCCTCTTTTATGAATCAATTGCCTGTTCCCATGGTTTGCAAATTTTTCTTTGAGGCTTAATTTTTTTTTCTAAGTGACGTACAGGAGCTCTTGAGACATTCGTATCTTTATATTTTATGAGACTTAATGTCTTCTGTTAAGGCTGAGTGCTCCCAAGATTACTTTTATTTTAAAAAATTCACCATAGCATGAGCTTAATGTTTGTAGGTTTAGATTCTGTTAAAGTTGAGAGTGGATCCAGTTGTCAGGGATGAACCATATTAACCCAGCTTAAAATTTGTAAAGTGATATAGAAACATGAGCTACACAGTGAGTGCAATAGGTCCAAGTGCTGATTTTACCACACACCAGCTATAGGATTAGGATGTAAGCTTCTTGTGGACAAGCATTTTTCACTCTTCTATAAACTGCTGCATCCTCAGAACTCCGAACAACTGGCCCATAACAAATAGCATGTCTGTGTATGGAATCTCATAGTACAGATAGCTTCTCCCAATGTGCAGATGATTTTCACTCATGGTGCCTCTTTTAACCTACACAGACTTTAACTTTTAATGTAAAAAATCTTTCCTTTTAATACATTTTACATTTTCAGTATCCTTCAAAAACCTTATTGAGACCAAGTTCATAAGGATATTTTCACCTATTTCCTTCCATTAATTTCACTTTTCTCAGAATTGTCTCTTAAATCCATCTGGAATTAATTATTTACGGAAGATCCATATTTCCAATTAATTCTTTTCCATGTGATAGCCACTTCCCCTAGTGGCATATTTTAAGTAGTTTATTCTTTTCCATTTTACTTGTAGCAATGTTTTCCATCTCTATAATTTATTCAATTTCCATATATGCATGCATCTTTTTGTAGGTTTTAAAATTTGATTTTGGAAGTCTAATTTCCCATAATTATACTAATACCACACAATCTTACTTATTTTAAATTTAAATAAGACTAGATATTTTCCTGAAAGAACAAGCCCTACCACCTCCCACCACATACACACTCACACCCCCGCCCCACTCACATACATGTTCTTCTTGAAATTTTTCCTAAATATTCATGACCTTTTGTCCTTCCACAAAATATTTAGATTAAGCCTGAATCTTCCACAAAATTCTCTCAGAATAATAGTTGTAATTTTAACCCTGCATCTTGCTATTTCTGAACTTGTATGTATCTATGTATTATAGATCAGGTTTAAATTCATTAAATAAAATTGTATAATTGTCTTCATTAAGATTTTTAATAGCCATTATTAAAATCATTTCTAGAAATCTTATACTTTTAGTGGCTATTGTAAACGGTATGTAGTCATGTGTTGCTTAAGAATATGTTCTGAGAAATGCATTAGGCAATTTCGTTGTTGTGTCATCACAGGGAACTCCGTAAGTACTTAAAGCTTATAGAACAAGAATATAAAGAAAGAAAATGCTTTTGTACAATTTTATGATGTGTTTGTGTTTTAAGTGAAGTATTGTTACAAGAGTCAAAAAGTTAAACAAAAAGTTAAAAAGTTCTTAAAGTAAAAAAAATCGTAGATTAGGTTAATTTATTACTGAAGAAAGAATTAAATAAAAATTAATTTGATATGGCCTATATGTACAGCATCTATAAAATCAAGAGTAATGTGCACTAATGTCCTAGACCCTTACGTCCATTCACCTCTCACTAATACAACCACAACGGCTTTCAGTCCCACAAGCTCCATTCATGGTAGGTGCCTATAAAGGTTCACCATTTTATATCTGTTATACCATATTTTTAGTGTACATATGTGTTGGATACATATGTGTTAGATACATAAGTGTTAGATGTTTACATATGTGTTGGATACACAAATACTTACTATTGTGTTAAATTACTTACAGCATTCAGTACAGTAACATGCTGTACAGGTCTGTAGCCTAGGAGCAATAGGTCTGTAAGTACTTACAGAATTCCCTGTGATATAGTGAGATAGACTATCACTGTATCGTAGTGATATAGCCTACTGCACATCTAGGCTATATGGTATGACCAATTATTGCTCCTAGGCTGCAAACCTGTACAGCATGTTACTGTACTGAATGCTGTAAGTAATTTAACACAATAGTAAGTATTTGTGTATCCAACACATATGTAAACATCTAACACATATGTATCCAACACATATGTAAACATCTAACACATATGTATCCAACACATATGTACACTAAAAATATGGTATAATAGATATAAAATGGTGAACCTTTATAGGCACCTACCATGGATGGAGCTTGCGGGACTGAAAGCCGTCGTGGTTGTATTAGTGAGTGGTGAATGGATGTAAAGGTCTAGGACGTTAGTGCACATTACTCTTGACTTTATAGACGCTGTACATACAGGCCATATCAAATTAATTTTTGTTTAATTTTCTTTCTTCAGTAATAAATTAACCTAATCTATGATTTTTTTTACTTTAAGAACTTTTTAACTTTTTGTTTAACTTTTTGACTCTTGTAATAATATTTCGCTTAAAACACAAACACATCATAAAACTGTACAAAAGCATTTTCTTTCTTTATATTCTTGTTCTATAAGCTTTTTACTATTTAAAAAATGTTTTACTGTTTTTTATTTTTTAAATGTTTTCGTTAAAAATGAAGACACAAACATGCATTAGCCTGTAGAATAGTAGGCAAGGTCAGGATCATCAATCTCACTGTCTTCCACCTCCACATGTTGTTCCACTGAAAGGTCTTTAGGGGCAGTAACAGGCATGGAGTGGTCAGCTCCTGTGAGAACAATGTTGTCTTCTTGAATATCTCCTGAAGGACTTGCCTGAGGCTGTTTTATAGTCAACTCTAAAAAATATATCTAAGTAGAAGAAATATACTCTAAAATAACAATAAAAAGTATAGTACGGTAAATACATACACCAGTCATTTCTCATTACTATTATGCACTGTGCGTAATTATATGTATTATGCTTTTACACCACTGGCAGCACAGTAGGTTTATTTACACTAGCATCACTATCCCCACAAATGTGTGAAGAACCTATTGCATCTATCGAACTACAACATTAAGACAGCTATGACCTATGACGTCACTAGGCAACCAGAATTTTTCACCTCCATTATAATTTTATGGGATCGCTGTTGTATTTGGGGTCTGTCATTGACCAAAATGTTGCTATGCAGTGGATAACGGTATTTTTGTGAAATCATATTTTTCTAATAATTTGTTAATATTTTATAATGCAACTGTTATTTTATTGAAATCTGTTAGCAATTTATTTTCTAACTTCGGTTGACTTTTTTTTTAAGTAAGGAATCATATAGTGTATAGATACTGACAATGTCAATTATTTCTTCCTAAACTGTACACCTGCATTTCTTTTTCTAGTCTTACTGGGTTACACAGGACTTTCAGTCAAATATTACAAAGCAATATTAAAGATCATCCTTGTCTTTTTCTTCTGAATTTAGTAAGTAAACTCAAAGTAATTAACATGACCTGATAATCACAAAAAATGTTTCAGTATTAAATATGAGGCTTCCTATAAGTTTTGATAGCTATCATAGATGAGATTCAGGAAGTTGCCTTCTACTGTAGTATAATACGAGGAATTTTGGTGTTGTTGATGTACATAGTATTCGTCCAGTTTTTGACTATGAAATTGTCATAAACAGTCTTTTAATATCGTTCATTCTACTTTTGTATATATCTAAAATTAGAATTGTTGCTATACAGTAGGATATGCTTAACTTTAATAAATATTGCCAAAACATTTTGCAAAGCAATTGTACCAATATACACTCTCACCTGTAATATATATGTGCTTCAGTTCCTCCAATTGTCATCAACACTTG
Organism: Homo sapiens; assembly: GCF_000001405.40. NCBI lineage: Eukaryota > Metazoa > Chordata > Mammalia > Primates > Hominidae > Homo > Homo sapiens. Next base: position 64,017 of record NW_019805503.1, read on the forward strand.
TTACTCCTCTTATTTTTAGAGATATTAGTAACTGTATAGTCATAATTTATCTTGGTATTAATTTGCATTTCACCAATTACTAAGGCTGTTGAGCAACTTTTCATATAACTGGGGGCATAACCATTTTACGAAGTGTATATTTAAATTGTTTGCCTACTATAATTTACTTTTTTTTCTTCCGGATTTAAGTATCTTTGTTTTGTTATGAATATTGAGACAACCAAGTAAAAAGGGCTCCCTGGAGAATCTCCAACTGGTCTTCTCTTCTCACTGGGAGGAGAGGGTGGGGCCTGGGGAAGTTGGCGCCCTTTGTAGAGGAGACAAGCCTGGCCTCTCCTGTTCCTGGGTGATAACCTGGGATTCAACCTGTCAGATGGGGGCCTAACAAGAACCCCTCTCACTTTGCTGTGCTGCTTTTCCTTTACACCCAATAAATTCCGCCCGATAAATAACCCCTCATCCTTCAAAGTGTCTGCGAGCCTAGGCTTTTCTGGTCATGTGACAAGAACCTGGTTCTTCCTACAACAATACTAGTAGTTTGTCAAATATATATTTTGAAATATAATATGCTAACTGATGACTTGCCTTTTAATTCTCTTAATTGAAATTTTAAAAATAGTGACTTAATGAAGATAATTTTTCCTTTTTTGTAAGGTTCATATTATCAAAGTTTTCTTTAGTATGAAGAGCGTTTAAATTCTCCTTAAGATATTTGCCAACTCAAAAGTCATGAAGATCTATGTTTGCATGAAGAAGATGTATTCTACTTTTCACATTTAAATCTCTAATACTAAAAAACAAAAAAATTTAAATTTTGGATTTACAAGAAAACCTTAACAGTACAGAGTTCTCATAAAGACCACAATCAGTTTCCTGTATTATTAACATCATTATGGCACATTTGTTATAATAATGATCAAATGTTGATACATTATTAACTAAAGTTGAAAGCTTTTGCAGATTTCCATAATTTTTGCCTAATATTCTTTTTGTATTTAAGGATCTCAGCCAAGATGCCATAATACATTTAGCTGTCCTGTCTCATTAGGTTCCTCTTGGCTGTGACAGTGTCTTACCTTTTTTTTGTTGTTGTTCTTGGCGACCTTGACAGTTTTGAGGAGTAGATATTTTATAGAATGACCTTCTATTATAATTTGTCTGATATTTTCCATACGATTAAGCTGTATTATGTGTTTTTGGGAGAAGACCACAAAGGTAAAGTGGCTTTTTCATCACATTTTATCAAGAGAATTTGTTTTCAACATATATATAGGGCTGGGCATGGTGGCTCATGCCTGTAATCTCAGCAATTTGGAGCCAAGACAGGAGGATCACTTGAGGTTAGGTAGGAGTTTGAGACCAGCCTGGGGAACACAGGGAGTATCTGTCTGTGAAAAAAAAAAAATTTTTAAAAATAACCAGGTATGGTGGTGAGCACAGAGGCTGAAGTGGGAAGATCACTTGAGGCCAGAAGGTCGAGGCTGCAGGGAACTGTGATCATGCCACTGCACTCTAGCCTGGGTGACAGAGGAAAACCCTATCTCAATAAATAAATAAATACACACACACACACACACACACACACACACAGAGTTACTAAATAAATCACTTGGAATTGCTCTGCGTAAGAGGTTTGTCTATATTCTCCCATTTATTTATCATTTATTTATGTTACCATGTACTCACAGGTACTCACAGATATTTATATTTTGGATTATACTTCAATACTAATTTATTTCTTTTTATTTTATTTATTTATTTTTCAAGACTTAATCTCACTCTGTTGCTCAGGCTGGAGTGCAGTGGCAAGATCTTGGCTCACTGCAACCTCCACCTCCCGGGTTCAAGCTATTCTCCTGCTTCAGCCTCCCAAGTAGCTGGGACTACAGGTGCGTGCCAACATGCCCGGCTTATTTTTTGTATTTTTAGTAGAGACGGGGTTTCACCATGTTAGCCAGGATGGTCTCGATCTCCTGACCTCATGATCTACCCCTCTCAACCTCCCTAAATGCTGAGATTACAGGCATGAGCCACCACACCCAGTCTATTTTATTTTTTAATAGAGACAGGGTATTACTGTGTTGCCCAGGCTGGTCTTGAATTCCTGGGCTCAAGTGATCTTCCCACTTCAGCCTTCCAAAGTGCTGGGATTATAGGCATGAGCCACCGTGTTCGGTCAATACATACTCATTTATTTTGCTGCTTAAATTATTTCAACATTAGCAACTGGGTGATCTTTTGGTGGCCTCATGTGTGCCTTTGGCATATCTCCATCAACGTAGTTTTTTTATGTATTGTTTTTAAAGACTTCCTTATTTTCTAGCACTATGCTCGAGGCTTATTTGTGTATTGCCTGCTTTAGTTCTAGAGTCAGCCATTTCTCCCAGGAGCCAGGGTTCCTTTTTTAGGTTGGTGCAAAAGTAATTGCGTTTTTTTTGTCATTAAAGGTAATAGCAAAATCCGCAATTACTTTTGCATCAACTTTGCTAAGATGACTGCTAAGAGATATCAAGTCCTAGATGCTAGATATGCTCATTACTATTGGGGTTTCATCATTTCTAGGCCCTTTCAGCTGACAGAACAGGGAAATATATGTATGCATACTAACCAGTGCATGTATACTTATCTATAAATATTTTATCTGTAACTTTCTCTATCTACATAAGCAAAGAATGAGTTCATACTGATGTTTCCAACTTTTCTACACTACTATGTGAACCATTCTAACCTTTCACCCTGCTTATATATAAACTACCATTGCGTTAGAAAGAAATCTGCCTTCCACCATATAGCATCCATTTACTCAATTGTTCAATTTTTATATACATGTACAGTAGTATCAGAACTGTTAACCTATACCTGCATGGGAAACACTTTATCAAATATAGTATAATACTAATGTGCAGTTCCTTTTTCCTTTAGGTTTTCAAACTCCATTCATTTCCATAGTTACTTAGATCACCACCTTAAACTCTATTCCTGTCAGTGAGTTTGTTTTACACATTTGTAATACATTTAAAAGCTTTTGTTGCAGTCTACAATTCATCCGGGAATCCTCCTACCTCCTACATAATTTTAAAATTTGCATATGTTAGTTTCACTCTTGGTTTTGCAAAGTTCTATGGATTGCGACAAATGCATAATACCAAGTATCCACTATTATTTTACCATACAGAATGGTCTCCTTGCCCCAAAATATTCTCCATGCTTTACCTATTTAAACTTTTCCCTGCCTTCCTGAACTCCTGGCCACTACTGCCCTTATTGTCACATAATTTTGTTTTTTCCAGAATGTCACGTGATATGGTTTGGCTCTGTGTCCCCACCCAAATCTCATCTTGTAACTCTCATAATTCCCACATGTTGTGGGAGAAACCCAGGGGGGAGATAATTAAATCATGGGGGCGGGGTCTTTCCCGTGCTGTTCTCATGGTAGTGTATAAGTCTCATGAGGTTTGATGGTTTTAAAAATGGGAGTTTCGTGCACAAGCTCTGTCTATTTGCCTGCTGCCATCCATGTAAGACGTGACTTGCTCCTCCTTGCCTTCTGCCATGATTGTCAGGCTTCCCCAGCCATGTTGAACTGTAAGTCCAATTAAAATGCTCTCTTTTGTAAATTTCCAAGTCTCAGGTATGTCTTTATCAACAGTGTGAAAATGGACAAATACATCATGTAATTCAAATTATACAGTATATACCTTACTCAGACTGGCTGTTTTTAAATTAGCATTATGCATTTGAATATTATTCATGTCTTTTCACGGCTTGGTAGCTCATTTCTTTTTACTATTGAATAATATTTCATTGTATGGATGCACTGCAATTTGTTTACCCATTTTCCCGTTGATAAAGATCTTGATGGCTGCCAGTTTTTAGCGATTATGGATAAAGCATTTGTGTGCAGATTTTTTTTTTTTTTTGAGATGGAGTCTTGCTCTATTGCCCAGGCTGGAGTGCAGCGGCACAATCTTGGCTTACTGCAGCCTCCGCCTCCCAGGTTCAAATGATTCTTCTGCCTCAGCCTCCTGAGTAGCTGGGACTACAGGCGCCTGCCACCACACCCAGCTAATTTTTTGTATTTTTAGTAGAAACGGGGTTTCACCATGTTGGCCAGGATGGTCTCGATCTCTTGACCCCCGTTTGGCCTCCCAAAGTGCTAGTATTACAGGCATGAGCCACCACACCCAGCCTGTGTACAGATTTTTAATGGACATAAGTTTTTAAATCAGTTGGGTAAATACCTCAGAGTGTGATTGATGTATTGTATGTTAACACTATGGTTAACTTTGTAAAAGAAACTGCCAACTGGCTTCCAAAGTGGCTGTATTATTTTGCATTCCCACTGCCAATGAACTTGAGTTCCTGTTGGTTCACATTCTCATAAGCATTTGGTATTGTCAGTGTTTCAAATTTTAGCCATCTAATGGATATATAATGATATCTCATTGTTGCTTTGATTTGCAACTTCCTAAAGATATGATACATTTTTAACAGCTTTATCAAGATGCATTTTACATACCATACATTCACATAAGTAAAGTGTACTATTCTAATAAACTTTAAAGAATCAATAGTATTTTCTTATGTGATAGCAAATTTTCTGAAAACAAAATCAAGAAAAGAATCACATTTACAAAACTACAAGAAAAATGAGATATTGAGGAATAAATGTAACCAAGGAAGTAAAAAAAACTCTACAATCAAAACTATGAAACATTAATGAAAGAAATTGAAGAAGACACAAATAAATGGAAAGATATCCCATGTTCCTGAACTGGAAGAATTAATATTGTTAAAATGTCCATATTACTCAAAATGATCTACAGATTCAGTGCACTGTCTATTAAAATACCAATTACATTCTTCACAGAAATAGAAAAACCAATCTTACAATTTCTAGGGAACCACAGAAGACTCCAAATAGCCAAAACAATCTTGAGCAAAAGGAACAAAGCTGGAGGCATTATACTACCTGACTTCAAAATATCTGCAAACCTATAGTAATGCAAACAGCATGGTACTGACATAAATGACAGAGACGTAGACCAACAGAACAGAATAGAGAGCCCAGAAATAAATATACACATTTACAGCCAACTTATTTTTGACAAAGATGTCAAGAACACACACTGGAGAAAAAATAGTCTCAATAAATGCTGTTGGAAAAGCTACATATCCATATGCAGAAGAATGAAATTGGACTTTCATCTCTCGCCATATAGAAAAGTCAATTCAAAATAGATTAAAGATGTAAATATATGTCCTGAATTATAAAATTACTAGAAGAAAATATAGGGGAAACACTTCATGACATAGGTCTGGGTAATAATTTTTTGTATGAGGATCTAAAGCACAGGCAATGAAAGCAAAAATAGACAAATGAGATTACATCAAACAAAAGTTTTCACACAGCAAAAGAAACAATCAGTAGGGTGAAGAGATGACCTACAGAATGGGAGAAGATATTTCCAAACCATACATCTGACATCCAAAATATATAAGAAACTCAAATAACTCAAAAGCAAAAAATAAATAAATTAAAATAAATAAATAAATAAATAAATAGATAGCTTAATTTAAAAAATGGACAAAAGAACTGAATGTACATTTCTCCAAAAGAAGACATACAAATAGCCAAAAGGTATATTTTTCAAATGCTCAACTTTTTTAATCATCAGGAAATGCAAATTAAAACTATAATGAGACATCATTGCATCCCAGTAGAATAGCCATTATCAATAAAATAAAGGATGACATGTGCTAAAATGAAGTGGAGAAAAGGGAACACTTATCCACTATTGGTGGATATGTAAATTAATACAGCCATTACAGAAAACAGTATGGAGGTTATACTATCTTAAGTGAAATAAGCCAGGCAAAGAAAGACCAATACTGCAATGAACTCACTCATACATGGAATCTAAAAAATCGAATCTCATAAAATTAGCATAATGGTGGTTATCAGAGGTGGCAGTAGTTAGGGGACAGGTGATGGGAAGACATTAGTCACAGGATACATAATAGTTAGAGAACATAAATTTCAAGAGATCTATTGTGCAGCAAAGTGACTATGGTTAATGACAATATATAGTAGTATTGAAAAACATATAAAACAGTGGGTACTATATGTGCTATCAGCACAAAAGTAATAACTATGTGAGGTAATGCATTTGTTAATTGGCTAGCTTTAATCATTCTACAACATATACATACTTCAAAAGTTTGTATTGTAGAAGATAAAATATAATGTTATCTGACAATTGAAAATAAAGGGTACAATTCTATAGTTTTTAAAGTACATTCACACATAAGTGCAACCATAATTATAGTCAATATTTTAATTTTTCATCACCTAAAAATAACTCTATAAAATATGTTTCATCCCCCATTCTCCAATTCTCCACCATCTACTTTATCTCTCTCTAAAGATTTCCCTAATCTGAACTACTCGTATGAATTGATTCACATCACATGTGGTCTTTTTGACTGGCTCTTTCACTTAGCATAATGTTTTTAAGGTTCACTCATATTTTAAAAAAAGAGTGAATATGTATCAGTACCTCACTGTTTTAAATGCCTGAATAATATTCCATTATGTGGATATACTACATTTGTTTGTCTATTCATCAATTGATGGAGATTTAGGTTTTTTGCATCTTTAGATTACTACAGATAATGTTGTTAGGAATATTTGTGTACAAATGTTTCTAACATTTAATGTTATTGTTGATATAGTTAAAAGTGTCTGCCAATTTTTGTTTTCTATTTAGCTCATGGTTTTAATGTTTCTCTGTTCCTCCTTTACTGCTTTCTTTTACAGTAAGTGAACATTTTCTTATGTAGCATTTTAATTTATTTAATCATTTTTATTGTATTTTTAAGTCATCTTTTAGTGATTCCTCTTGGTTTTACTATATTCATCTTAACTTACCAGATCACCCTCAGATTTATACTAGATTAATTTCTATGATAAAGGTACTACTCGTATAATTCTATTTCGTTTTCTCCCTTTTACGGTTTTATATTTAATACATATTACATATATTTAACACATATTACATGTCTTAATGTTACAAGCGCAATATTAAATTCTTATAATTATTACTTCTGCAGTACTTCTGTATAATTATTACTTCTGTACTACAACACCATCTGTAGTTATTTCCTCAGCCTAATACAGCTTTGCTCCAACACACCTCACAGAACACACATAATGACACAATCGCTTTTTCAACCAATTCAGAGAAGAATTACCTTTACCAGTGCTCTCTGTGTTTGTTGTTGTTGTTGTTGTTGTTTTGTGGGAATATGAATTACTATCTAGGGTCATTTGCTTTTAGCTTGAGTAACTTTTTTTAGTATTTCTTGTAACGCAGGTCAGCTAAAACAAATTCTCTGGTTGTGGTTCTTTATCTCTTTTTGTAATCTGGGAAAGTATTATTTTTTGCCTTTATTATTGAAAGATAGCATTGTTAAATAAGATTCTTGGTTAACAATATCCTAAAGTAGAACTACCATTTGATCCAACAATCCCACTACTGGATATCTACCCAGAGGAAAAGAAGTCATTATAAGAAAAAGATACTTGCACATGCATGTTTATAGCAGCACAATTCACAATTGCAAAACTATGGAACCAGTCCAAATGCCCATCAATCAATGATTAGATAAAAGATTGTGATCTATATCACATTATATATATATTCCTTTTTATGGCTGAGTAGTATTCCATGGTGTAAATAAAAAGGAAAAAAATGATGGCATTCACAGTAACCAGATGAAACTGGAGACCATTATTCTAAGTGAAGTAACTCAGGAATGGAAAACCAAACATCACATTATCACTCACAAGTGGGAACTAAGCTATGAGGATGCAAAGGCTTAAGAATGATACAATGGACTTTGTTTCACTTCCTGTATTTGCTTATAGTTGTTTCTTAATAAATTTGGAAAGTTATCAGCCATTATTTATTCGAATAGATTTTTCTCCTTTCTTTCTCCCCTCTAATGCTGTGATTTCCATTATGCATATGTTGGTGCACATAGTGGTTTTTCACATTTGTCTGAGGCTCTGTTCATTTTTCTTTATTTCTTTCTCTTTGCTCTTCAGCTTGTGTAATCTTGATCAATCTATCAATGTATCTTCAAGTTCACTTAGTCTTTCTTCTTTCAGTTCAAATCTGCTACTGAGCTCTCTTATGGGTTGAATTGTGTTTCTCCAAAATATATGTTTAATTTCTAAACCTTAATATCTCAGAATGTGGGCTTATTTCAAGACAAGGTATTCAAAGTAATTAAATTAAAATGTGCTCATTAGGGTCGACTAAATCCAATAGGACTGGTGGCCTTACAAAAAAAGAAAACATGTACACTAAGATAGACACACACAGGGAGAACACCAGATGAAGATGAAAGTGGAGGTCGAGGTCCCACAATTACAAGTAATGCTAAATATCGCTAGCAAAGAACCAGAAGCTAGGGAAATCAAAACCATGTTTCCTTCCCAGCACTCAGAAAAACCCCAATCCTGCCAACACCTAATTTCAGACTTTTAGCCTCCAAAACTGTGAGACAGTAAACTTCTGTTGTTTAAGCCGCCCAGTTTGTGGTATTTTGTTATTGAAGTCCTAACAAACTAATATAAACTCCTCTAGTTAATTATTTGTTTTAGTTATTTTACTTTTTGACTCTAGAATTTCCATTTGGTTCCTTTTTATAATTTCTCTTTGTTGACATTTTCTACTTGAAGTGACATTGTCATCATACCTTCCTTCACTTCTTTAATCGTGGTTTTCTTTAGTTCTACGAATATGTTTATAAAAACTACTTCAAAGTCTTTTTCTGAAAAAATCTGACATTTGATTGGTCTCATAATTAGTTTCTATTGGCTTTTTGCCCCCTTCCCCCACCCATATCTGGGTCGTACTTTCCTGTTGAGTGACATGCCTCATTTTGTTGTTATTGTTTGAAGTTCGACATCTTTAATAGCATATTGCAGCCACTCGGAATACTGCTGCCCTTCTTCTGGGTGTATTATTGTTATTTGATTGTTTATTTGTTTAGTGAATATCTGGATTATTTTAGTGAAGTTTATTTTCTCTCTCATTCCCAACCCCAGCACACAGTGTAAAGACTCTGATATTTCTCCTCAGAGAGGTACAAATATGAATATACCCATAGCCAAATATGGTGGTAATTTTGGTAAGGCTTTCTTCTCTTTCTCTGACCACATTCAGCTGTTAAACTCCACTAATTGCCAACTGATTGCTCTACTGTTTTCAACAACATTCTAGGACATAAACTGTTCTACAAAGTAAACCAATCAACTTCTGGCCCCTTTGAAGAAGTAGTTTCTGAGTCTAATATTTGTTCTGACCCCAGGAGGGCTCCTCTCAGTCGTCTTATTTCCCATTTTTCCCCAAAAACTTGTTTGTCTGTCATTTAGCCTTTATCTTGACTATCTCTCCAATTGCCTTTCACCGTGTATATATCCACTGTTCTTAAGAGTGCCTTTAGCTTGGAATTTACTTATGCTCTGTTGCAAATACAGTTCTTTTAGGAAGAGATAGGGAACTATGTTTTATGATCTGTTTCTCCCATAGGCAAAATTTCTGAACCAGGGCTATAGAACTGGGAGTGGGGACAGTGGCACACTTTTCTCAGAGTGAAATCTGTGCTCTAGATGCTGCACACTCAATGGAAGTCAGGGAAGCAGCCTAAGATCCTTTTGGCTTGTCTCTCCTAACATGGAACCAACTAGCAGGGCCCCAGTATTCTCAGCCCGCCATGCAAGAGGTAGAGTCTCTATTCCATGAGTGTGGGTTGGGCAAAAGAAGGAAGTCTCCACTTCTCAACTGCAGTCATTCAGGACTTAGCCTCTGCAATAGGTAACTGAGAGTAGGATAAGAAAAGCTGGGCCGGGCGCGGTGGCTCACGCCTGTAATCCCAGCACTTTGGGAGGCCGAGGCGGGTGGATCATGAGGTCAGGAGATCGAGACCATCCTGGCTAACACGGTGAAACCCCGTCTCTACTAAAAATACAAAAAATTAGCCGGGCGCGGTGGCGGGCGCCTGTAGTCCCAGCTACTCGGGAGGCTGAGGCAGGAGAATGGCGTGAACCCGGGAGGCGGAGCTTGCAGTGAGCCGAGATCGCGCCACCGCACTCCAGCCTGGGCGACAGAGCAAGACTCCGTCTCAAAAAAAAAAAAAAAAAAAAAAAAAGAAAAGCTGATGTCCTACTCTTCCGAGGAAAGAAGTTATCTGACTGGAATCTAGTGAAGGAAATTAAAATATTTTACCCTAAAATATATTTCTTTGACATATTTTGAAATGGCTGCCAGTTGGTCATCCTGGCGGAAGTGGCCTTGCAAAGCTGTTTTCAGTGGAGAAAATTTGCATCAGTAGAGAATCTCCATTAGCACAGCCATAACTCCTCCACTTTCTATGCCTTTCCCCAGATCCAGGAGTGATAGAGAGTCTGACACTTTTAAAAATCGGAAAAGAAACATTTACCATCTCTAAAGGAGGCTTCATCTATCTAACAAGTCCACCTTTGCTAGACAAGCTTCTTCCTTTCTCTGTCTCTTAACCTGTGTTGCCACTAAACCTTATTTACCTGTTTCTGGCCATTTTTTGAATCTGCATTCTTTCTTGTGGCCTAGTATGCATGTTTCTGTAACTCACTGGGAAGTTGGGTCTTCATTCTGAAGGCTCCTGTGTATACATGTTAAATAAATGTGTATTCCTTTTCTCCTATTAATCAACTTACCTCATGTCAGTGATTCTTTAGCAAATCTTTAGGGGGCCAAGAGCGTATGGCTCCTGCACTGATGAGGAAAGAAATTCTGCGTTCTTGGGAGTGGAGTCTCCATGTTGCTAAGCCAGGAGGTGGGGGAAGGGTGAAGTCCTGATCCAAATACCACAGGCTCCAGGCTTTCTTACTGAATTTTCAAAGATTATCTTGAATAGATATTTTTTTATTTGCTGCTTTGGGACTATTTCTAGTCATTTGGGACTATTTCTAGAAGCTTTAAATAATCGTTTTGTTTATAATTGTAACCAGTTTCATAGGGGAACACTTCAGTGAGGTGCCTCACACTCTCATGCTAGAAGATCTCCTGATATGATACGTTTTTAATTAATATTTTTATGTATAAGTTGGGGTGAAGTTTAGTTTTTCCATACAGATGCTGAGTTGACCCGACATAATTTATTGAAAAGATAATATTCTTTCTCATGAATTGCAGTAATGCATTTGTTGCAAATCTGGTTTAAAAATATGTATGTGTCTCTTTTAATGTATTTATTAATTTTTTTAAGTGTAGAGACAAGGTCTCACTGTTTTGCCCAGGCTGGTTTTGAACTTCTGGGCTCAAGCGATCCTCCCCCTAGCCTCCCGGCATGCTGGGATTACAGGTGTGAGCCACTGCACCTGTCCTGGGTCTCTTTAGAACTCTTTTCTGTTTCACTGGTCAATTTGTGTATCCCTATGGCAGTACCACACTGTCTTGATTACTGTAGCTTTACAGAGAGTTTTGATGTTTAGCAGTGTAACTCTTCCAACTTGATTATTCTGCTATATGATTTTTTTTGGAGAATCAGCATGCTTTCTTTGCTTACATACTTTTGAAATAAGCTGGTCAATTATCACACATACACACAGAAACATGCATACTCACACATGTATCAATGCTGGAATATTAATTGGGACAGCATTGAAGTAATCATTTTGTAGCAAATGAATAGCATATAAATATTAATAAACACAGTATATCACCATTTATTTTAATACTTTGTTTTCAATAAGGTTTTATTTATAAGTGGATCATTTACAGATTATTAAAATTATACATAATTTTATAATTCTTATTAAAATTATACATAATTTTATAATTCTTATTAAAATTATAATTTTATAATTCTTATTAAAATTATAATTTTATAATTCTTATTAAAATTATAATTTTATAATTCTTATTAAAATTATAATTTTATAATTCTTATTGAAATTATAATTTTATAATTCTTATTGAAATTATAATTTTATAATTCTTATTGAAATTATAATTTTATAATTCTTATTGAAATTATAAATAATTTTATAATTCTTATTGAAATTATAAATAATTTTATATTTTATAATTATTTATAAAATGCTATTTCTGTCAGTGAATGTAACTGTGTGTTTATTTATTTATTTATTTATTTGGAGCTGATGCTTTTCTAATGTTACACAGGCTGGCCTGGAACTCCTGGGCTAACATGACCTTCCTGCCCCAGCCTCCCAAGTAGCCATTGTGCCTGTTGATTAATAATAAGAAAACAATATAATTCACCACATTAAAATATCAAAGAAGAAAAATAATTTAATTATTATAACAGGTGCAGAAGAAGCATTAAGGATCTGTATCACTTATGGCAAAATCCCTTAACAAAGTATGCATAGAAGGAAAATCCTGAATCTGCTGAAAAGTTTTCTATAAAAAATAGAATAAATTTCATGTTTAATACCAAAACACTGAAAATCTTTCCTTTGTGGTTGATAATAAGACAAAGATGAAAGAATTGTATTATCAACTCCATTAATTATGTTGCTGGAGATCCTTACAGTGTGATAAGACAAGAAGAATAAACAAAAATTTAAGGTATAGAGATAAAACAAAACAAACAGTAAGCAAAAATGGCGTTATTTAAAGATATCAGTAGAGACCTTCTAAAGACTCTATTTACAACTTTGAGAAATAATAGCAGAGTTGATCAAAGTTGATCGTTAAAAACTCAGTATACTGGTTATGTCTCTATACACTGACAATGTTTAGATAAACATTTTTTAAGAATGTTTTTTAAGAAAACATTTTTTAAGAATCTAAACTTTTTAAGAATACTATTCATCAACAGCCATTCCACAGAAACAAAAATGGCCCTTAATCATATGAAAAGATGTTCAATTTCACTCACAACAAGGGAAATGCACAAAATATTTGTACTGAAATACCATCTTTCAAATATCAGGCTGAGAAATGTTTCAAAATGTCATAGTACATTGGCAAGGTGTGAAAACAGATATTTTCATATTTTCCCAGTAGAAATATATATTGTCCCATTGGCAATAAGGGGCAATTAGGCAATACAGGGTGAACGTCTCTTATCCAAAATGCTTGGGATCAGAAGTGTTTCAGATATAGAATATTTTTGGGTTTTGGAATATTTGCATATATGTAATGAGATAGCTTAGGGATGGGATCTAAGCCTAAACAAAAATATTTATGCTTGTTTCATGCACACCTTATATAGATAGCCTGAAGGTAATTTTATATGATATTTTTAATAATTTTGTGCAGGAAACAGATTTTTTTAAATTACCCTTTGTAAGGCATTTGGAAAACATGTATATCAGATGAAGGGGCTGGTAGGGTCTTTTTTCATTTGGGGACATTGAATAAACTGTGCATCGTGTGCCTGCATTTTGACTGTAATCTGTCACATGAGGTCAAGTCTGGAATTTTCCACTTGTGGCACCATGTTGATGCTCAAAAATGCTTTCAGATTTTTGAAGCATTTCAAATTTGAGGATTAGGGATGCTCAACCTGTATCTATAAAAGTTACAAATTTAGATACTTTGAGCCAACAGTTTTATTTCCAGAAATTAATTATACAGATATACTCACATGCATGCAATTGTTACGATGTCAGAGTCTATTGTGCCATAGGAAACACCTAAATGTCCATAGAAGCAGACCATTTAAGTTAATGTTACTAGGAAGACACGAGTATCTACTGCCTAGGTCCTCATCTCCCAACGTTTTCTTCTCCATGAACACAAAATGGTAAAGAACAAAATTAAATGACACAAAACTCATGTCCTAAGAATAATTCAAAGACATAGAATGTGTAAATTCCAAATAACCCTAAGTAAAAAAAGGAATAAAACCATTTCTAATCCATAATCTCTCATGCTCCTGTTCAACTGTCATTGGCCCATCACTTTGCAGCAAACAAAGATCAACAAAAAGCACTGCCAGTAAATGAGAAGAAGCAGGCTAGCAATGCCATCCAAAATTGATCTCAAATTAGTGCTATAAATACTAAATCCATCCTAAGTCTGAGAATAATACAAAGGGATCCTGGTAAATAAGGACAAGGATGCAGAAAAGGGAATTATCCATAAATGTGTTTTGAACGAATGATCTTTGCACCACAACATTTGGGGCCTGGGTGGGGGGCTGTCAAAAGGAAAACAGAATGGTGAAGGGAAAAAGTAGCCCAGAGGGAAACTCTGCAGCCCGAAAACAGAAGAAAACCAAAACATTTGAAGAATGCAAAATCTTTCCCTTCATCAACAAACGAAAAATAAATTTTTTGACAGAAGAGGATACCATGAAACTGGAAATCATGTAAAATGATTCAATTTCACAACAATAAATAAGAAAATAGTAGATCTATAAAGACTTATTTCAAAAAACATCAGAGAAGAAAAATTAACTCATAACTGAGGAAAACTCTCCCTAGAAAAGCAAGCATGAATCAGGAAATGGACAGATACAGAGACAGAAGAGAAGACAATGTTTCACACTGAATTAAATATATACAAACATGGGTTTGAGGGTATTACAAACCACTTGGAATTAAAAATTCAAAAACTAAGAAGGAAAATCAATTTTTAAAAATGTGGGAATAAAGTGACTGAACTCAGGAAACAGAACAAAGACAATAACAAATTTGTTTCAGAAGTAAATAAAAAGTTAGAACTGGTCAAGAGAACATACACTTAAAGAAAAAGAATGGTGCCTATCAGAAAGCAAGAAAATGGGCAGAGATCTGTATGATACAGTTTGTATGCACCAAAAAATATCAATCATATTTTTGATTTAGTCAATAAACCTTACACCAATTAAGAAAATAATTTCAATGAAATTGATTGATACATTAATATTTAGTTAAAGAAAGGGGGACTATCTTTACATATGTATTTCAATTTGGTAACGCAGAGCTGTATGACAGTCAGGAAATTTGACTTAGATATGTTAATTGCAGTATAGATGATTTAATTTTTAGTTTCATGCAAAGTAAGGCGGTTACATCAGAGAATAATACCATTGCACACACTTTATTTCAAATGACTCATACAAAATTGTTAAGAATGTATTATTTATGCAAGGCATTTTACCTTCTATCTTAAATTTATGTTGGCTATTATTTAGAGGTTTTCAGGACCTCATGAGAAATCACTGCACTTACTAGTGAAATACACAATTTAATCCCCTGGCATTTTCCAGTTGATTAAAAGTGCTCAAAAAGTTTTTAAGAGATGCTTAAATCAATGTGATATAGATATATATATTTAACATCTATAACAATGATAGGTATATAAAATTCTTTGAGTACTTTCATTTTGAGAATAAAATAGAAGATGAAGTTATTACACAATAATAGAGATCTGTTCATTTAAAGAAAAAAATTATACCCAGTGTGTTTCCATGTAATTCACTGATTTACTCCGTGAGCATGCCTTCACACAAAATCCAATAAAATCATTTTGATGAAACACACTTGTTTCATAACTAAAAATTTTCATATGAATCAGGACAAGTTTGGTAAGTCATTATTTTACCCAGCTGTAAAGATGTACCAAAATATCTGAAAAATATTTTTTGAAACATTTGACATTAATCAAAGGCAGGTTGTTATGTAATATCCAGACAAAACCGCATATATAGGATGCAGAAATAGATTTTATCATAATGGAGTTTTCCGCTAGCATTGTAATACCTGACATTTTCTATGAGCATGATCAAGGTAAAGTTGACATTGTGGAATCTGCATGGACTGTGGGGTGGCAAGAAGCAGAAAAGACTTTTCATCCAGGTTGTGCCTTTGGAAGCACTGAAAATGTTAGGACTGACTTTATGGTGATGAGGATCAGACCTGCTGACTCTTATATCTTGAGTCACTACCCAGATGTCTAGCTCTTACAATAGAGTAAATCCTATAATGCATGTAACTTCGACTAGTCATTTTTTATGATTCACCATTCCCTAAATATATCATTAATTCTGAGATATTTTAGGCACAGGTATTTGTATTTAGGCACAGGTATTTGTACCATTAGGGATTGTGCCACGAGGATTTTATATATATATATATATATATATATATATATAGCTTCAGCTAGTAGAAAACAAATTGGTTATTCTCCAATTCTTACATGAACAACATCCTATAAGCTTTTCCTAATTGGGTTAGAAAATAAAACTCATTTACACAACTTGGAACAAGGCAATTTGATTGAATTAAATCAGGCATGAAAAAAATCAATAAAACTCACCAATTCAAATAAATCAGTTCCAACAAACAAACTGAATCAGGTTAAAGAAAAAAGAGCAAAGCTGTTAAAACCATAGCAATTTTTAAACTTCTCCTGTGGTGATTTATTCAAAATTTCAAAACCCAGGAATGTACAAGGAGGAAAAAACAAGGAAAGTTACATATGTGTTTCATTCTGGCATAAATAGTAACAAAAAACTTCAAATGTACATGTTGTTGGAAATAACCATCATTTTTCTATATTGGGTTTTCAGAAGCTGACAAACGGTTTATATCAGAAGGTGGAATCGTGGGTATGGTCGATGTGGCAGGTCCTAAACATAAATTGGGTAAGCTAAGGCAAGCAAAGCTGTTACTTTTGTTTAAACCAATCTCCATTAATGCCCCATATTATTAGATTTGGTTGCTTGCACAAATTTATAAGGAAGCAATCATTGTTTTTCTAAAACTGATCATTCATCTCTAGCAATATGTGGTAATTTTCAGCTGTGCATTTTCATTTCAAAGGCCCTTTACTAGGATGAAAATCGACAGGAGAAAATTGTTTTTAAGATTGCTGAAAGGCACTTGACAGAGATGATAAGAGTTCACTGATAATCTTGCCAGGTCCCAGATGTTAGGTGGGCAAAGGCATTTTGCAGAGGTCCTTGCACAGCTTCACATGCATGTGACAGACAGCACCTGAGGAAACCCTTCCCATTGGCCACCCCTCTGCACTCTCGTTTTCTTCCAGCTCCTATTGTCCTTTCCTGCTGTCCATTCCTCCTGAGACACAGTTCATTTCACCACTAAGGGTATCTGGTTTACCAGAAAGCTATGTCTTTTTGACAGTAAGTGTAAAAGAAAGTTTGATCCATCTGATTATCCAAATAGCAAAGGAAACATTTAACTCTGAGTCTGAGGACAGGGTTCAGCCCCAGGAGAAGCTTAGCTCCAGAGCAGTCAGTGCAGCTGTTTCCTTTACCACATACTCAGTCCCCAACTGTACATGATTTAAAGCCCTCAAGTTGCCTTGGAATTGAAGAAAACAAACATGAATCAAAGCTATATTTTTTTAAAGGCAGAAAACTAAAAATTTCTTAGCAAGGAAAAAAAGCAATCTGGAAATGAAGATCAGAGAACGAATAGCCAGAAGCGAAGTGTTAAAGGTTGTCATTCATTCTCCTGCAGTCAATAAAAGATGTTCCAGACAGAGATTAGAGAATCCACATTTATGGACAATGTAACCCATCAGCACTCCCCTATATGACTTCATTTAACACTCTCTACCAGGTACATGTTAATATCCCTCATTATGGGTACAAAAATCACAGGCTTATAAACAGTACTTTGCTCAAAATATACAGTTGCAAGATATTGGTTCCACTAAAACAGTTTTCTTCTGTTTTACACCATAGTAATAGATCTCATTTATTAGTTGCTGAGTGCAGTATATTAACAACTTGGTACATGGAGGGTTCATATTAATACCTGAGAAGACTAACTCTTAGAATGACTACAATCGTTACCACTCAGCTCTAAATGGAAATTATCCTAAATGGAAATTGTCAGAAAGGACTATCCTATAAATTAACAGACATGAGGTTTAGTTCTAAATATGCCTGTTATAACCTGTAAGAATGGCAAACCTAGAAAGTCAGATAAGAAGTCCTAAGAGCATCAAGCACTTTTGATAGGTGTATAAGGTCCAATTGTCTATTTAGAGAGTAGTCTAACACGACTTAGAGAATTTAAGTATGCATATACCTTAAGTGATCATGTAACTTATCATCAAACCTAGAACACTTTTTTAGAGGGAAAAAAGTAAGAATAATAAAAAATAATAGCTGTTATAGACTGAGTGTTTGTGTCTTCCCAAAAATGTATATGTTCAAGCCCTGCTTCACAGTGTGATTTAATTTGAAGAGGAATCCTCTAAAGAGGTAATTAAGGTTAAATGAGATCAGACAGGTGGCGTTCTGATTCAATAGGATTTGTGTCCTTATAAGAAGATAGAGCACATTCCACTCTCAATGCATAGAAACTACAGCTGTATTTGAATTTAAGTAATAATCTGAGCTTCTTCCTGTAAGAACCAGGGGATTCTGACAGCTCTTTGTATTTAAAAATGTTTCTAAATCGATGGTCGTTCTCCCAATATAATTCTAATAGAATATTTTTGAGTTTTACTATGCATCTTATTTCATTACATTCTGTCAGACAAAGGCCACCCCCACAAATAATCTTCAACACAAGTTGTTCTGTGGATTATGCTGACAGAGTCTTGTGGAACAACATCATCAAGATTCTTAAAAACCTCTTTGTCTAGTCTAAAATATGTGTAATCCACACTCTTAATATTTTTAGTAAATCTCTTCTTCTCTATGTTAGAGGACATACAAGGCTCATACTTACTCTTAGAAGCCCAAATAGGCATGATATAAATCTTTCAGAAAACTCAATAAATAGTCTTTTATCCACAGCCTTGAAATCTTTATCCTGAGGCTATGCTTACTGATGGCGTCCTAGGCCATTTTTAAATTTGAGATTCTTTACTGAAGGGGTCTAGGGATAAGAAACTGTTTTATTTTGAACCCAGCTCACTTGAGTATCCTATAAATTTTGCTTAAAATCTGTATAATTCTTTCTCTAGGATAGCTTTATCTCCACATATTTAAGTATAGGCAGCTATACATAGATTAGTAGATAGAAAGTAAAGATTCTATTGTTTCCTATTAAATTGCCTTTTGTTCAGAAGTATTATAGCTGAGGTTGTATGCATGTAGGATGAACATTTTTTCCTCTTTATTTTCTCTGCTTTCCCTGAAATTTATCACAGGATTTCTCTTCAAGTATGTTTTATAAAAATAAATGAGCTGTTCTTTCCTCCCTGGTAAATAATTTATAGAAATGCTCTCAATGACATTTGATGAATAGAAAAAAATTTTAAAGAATATGTTTTCTAACATAATAGGTGCATAACAGTCAGACAGACCAAATGAGCTTCAGTTTTGAGAGGGTCTGTTTATTGAATTCTCTATTGCTCTTTATTTGATCACGCATGCCCCATGTATCAAGCAGGGCAGGAAGACACCAGGAGATCATTAAGGTAATTTTCTGTCACTTATTTCTACTGATATTCACTATATGAGAGCACCGAAAATTTGACATTACCATGAGATTTGAAAATGTTTATTTATTTTCAACCATTAATTTTTTAGTATCAGTCAGAATTTAACAGATGGTGTCTATAAATTAGTCTAGGGAGGTAGCAAAGATATACTTTAGTGAAAAGATAAAGTCAGAAGGTGTTGACCTTCACAGCAATGAATATGAACTCATTGAAAAAGAAAGTGAGATACCTAGAAATAATGCTGTATCAACTTTACGGTCATCCTTTAGCCCAGTCAAGTTGATGCATTAAAATAACCATTACACTGCCCAACTCAAAGTCGAGGGCACAGGCATTCATGGCTATAGATCAGACACCTCAACCTCCTGGGGCAGAGAACAGGTTCGAGGAGTGATCTGGAGGCATCAAAAAAGAAAAGACACCTGGCTCAAATCTTGTCTGCCATTCTATGATCCTACACCTTCCACCAGTGATCCATTCTACCTCCCCCATCATCTCTGGCAGCCACAGTGTCAATCTTCTCTCAGTTCCCTGTCTCCATTGTCACCTCCCCGGCTTCTCTTTCCTTTAAGGCACTGCTTTCTAGTAGAAGATGATGTGTGTAGAAAGAGATTTCTTAGCTAAATACATAAGCAATCCTGGCTATTAAAATCTTACCCAATTTGGTTTAAAGTGTATATTACCGGAAGTTTCTTAAGGTCAAGAGGTTGATCGGTTGTTATTTTTGAGTATGACAAGTTTTTCAGTTCTTTCATAGCTCTCCAAACACCTCCGCCTATATTTATGCATTAATTTAATGAGCACTGAGCCTCTACAAACATTTGAATATGTGCTGGAGATAATGAGATTTAAACACAGTGTGCACATTCCACTATCCTATAGCCCATCTAAGAAAACAGGAAAGTAAAAACAAAATTTTTAGCCTGGTGTAATAGGGATGTAGATGATATAGACATAAGGCACCTGAATCCCTTTTCAAGAAGTAGTGTGTGTTCCTTAGTGAGGAATGAAGTTAGCTTGGAGCCTCCAGCTACAGAAACTTTAGGGGCTGTTTCTGCTCGATCTGAGGCCACCACACTCTTTCCCGGCAACCATCAGCCAGTACCTGAGCACAGGGGCTGGAGGTAGGGTGTTGGTGAGTAGTAGGGTCTTCTGTTTCTACCCAACATGGGGCTCTTCTAATGTTTGTTTTGGAACTTTCATTTGAGTTGGCTGAGACTGTCAGATCTTCACCATCTCAGACTTTTTCTGCCTATTTTTCTTTCCTCTCTTTTATTTTCAGAGATTTACATTGTTGGCTAACAGTTTTATATCCTCAATCTTGCTTCCTCCTCCTGGACCTTTCACAGACCTCACTCTTTGATAACATTCTTGCACTCATATTTTTATTTCAGCACCTTCTTCTCAGAAGATTTGAACAATGCTAGGGTTATGCATAAGTATAACATGCTACGAGAGCAAGAAGCACTTGTCCATGAGAATCTGATCATACTTGGAAGTGCCAGACTTGGTCACATGTACACATTTCTATTGTTTCACAGAAACATAGCATCTCAGATCCAGAAGAGGACCTTGGCCTACCATATGCCTAATGCTTGAATTTCCTTACCTGTCCAAGAAGTCCCTTATGATGTACTCTTGTAATACCATCTTTCATCCTTAGACAACTTAACTGATATGAAGTTCAAACTTATATTGCCTGCTTGACTGTGGTTTCAACACCTTATACCTAATATCGCTCCTAGGACCATAAGGGGTAAATCTTTCACATGACTGCTCCTACAGTTGTTTGAAGCCATCAATGATATTCACTCATAGAGGGCTTTGAGGCTTACCAACCTTTGCTACAACAATATTCCTCAGGAGACAGTCTTGAGTACAGTGCCTGCAATACATTTTGTTATCATTGCATAATTAATTGATAATTGTATTCAAATTCTTTCTTCAATATCATAGGCTCTCTCCCTTAGGCATCTCAAATTTATCTTCACAGCTTTTCAACTGCAAATTTAAGAACAAAATGTAAAACCTCTGATACCTCTAAGCAGCATAATAAAATGAAGGTTTTAAGGCCTTCTTTTGCTCCATAATATACGTATGTCAGTGTGGCATAGGTTATTAGCTACCATTTATTGTGCAATTATAATGTACTTGGAACTAAGCTAAGTACATATTATCTCATTTAATTTTCACTATTTTGTAAAATTGAAGATATGTATTTGTTTTATATTTTAAGAAACTGAAGCCAGAGAAGCAAAACAAATTGCTCAAAGTCATTCAGTTAGTTAATGAGGCAACAAGATTTGAAACCAAGTTTGTCTAATCTCAAAGCTCATACTTTTAACCATTATTTTATTACTGCCTTTGTAGATGCTTGGCAACCTCATAAAGCATTAACATATGTTGAATCTACTGTCAATTATATTTGCCTATTTCACACGTGTTTTGCATTGCCTCTTTATCATTACAAATTATTTTGTTTTTGTTAAATATAACTTACATGATAGAAAAAAATGATTGAATCCACTTAGCATCAGTACACCTGCTCTGAGAACTGTAATTTACATAATATCTTTTACCTTGCCTCTTCCTCCAAAAACTGGGAAAAATAGTATTGGCACACACCTCTTGGCCTACTCAATGGCCAAGGTATTCATCTGTTTTGTCCACTGATGTATCTCAAGCACCTAATACAGTGTTTGGCTCACAGTAAGTGCTCAAAAAAATCATTATTGAATGGATTGCTGTGATTAAAAGACACATTTTATGTGTATGCTTTGTGGAATACCTTGGAAACATTTTACTATCGATAAATGGTAGACATTCTTAATTTGAACTTTGAGAACATAAAGGATAGTACATGTGTCTATTACATTTAGCTTCTTCCCATAATTCAGCATATTGAGATATTATGAATTTTGATTCTCTCCTGAAACATATTTATCTTGGCTTCTAGTTCCATGTTGCCAGAACACGCCTACTATATGTTAGTCTCAGTTACTCATAAAAACATAGTACTGGACAGATCTTATAAACAGAAATTTTTAGTAGACTAGAATCTCCCCTCTAGGCTTGACTCTGATTTTCTATATAGATGGTTTTTTATTCATTTAGGCTCCTGGAGATTTATAACTGACAAGGATCTGATAAATCACCGATATCTTAAACCAAATCACCAAACAACTTTTAGCAAATGATTCCCATTCCCTCACTGGTTCCTGCCTGATCCTTCTCACCAGGCTTCCGAGTGTCAAATTGCATCTGGTGAAGACTGAAGACTTCTATCCTGGGATGTCTTTGACCTCACTTGCCATTTGCAGTGAAGATTTATCAGCTCCAAATGGAAAGGAATGGGAATTGATTGTGAAGGCAAACATCAGGCTGTTATCCTGAAAGAGAAGCAAAACAGACCTAACTCCAAGAGAAAATTTTGCCCAAATGTTGTAAAGCACAAAGAAAAATACCCAGATTGTTTCCTTTTTATATTCCAAATCATTGACAAAACTGAAAATGTCTTTCTTTTCCTTTTCCTTTTTGTGACTATACTAGTCACAAAAATCTAATAGCTTTCTAATTTATCTCATTTGATATTATCTCATCATTAGAAGTTTTGGAAACTTTGGAAATGGCACTAGAATCTCATTTAAAAAATTAATGCAGACTCATTGTTAAATAAGATGAACTGACTACATGAATTTAACTTATCTTCAAACCCAATAAAAATGTCACAAAAGAATTAAAAAAATTAACTTCCCAGGAAAAAGACAATTAGATATGAAATAAGAGCATAGGAAAATTTCAATTATCTTTGGAAGACAGAGAGTGGAAAGAATAATCATTTAAAAATCACATAGCAGAAAAAGTTAGTCTAATTATTTGCCAAAGAATTCCAATGAGAATCAAGTTATCAGTTCCTGAAAAAAGACGTGTGGAAGTGGACTTAACAAAAGAGTAGAATTGGTTGAAAATTCATATATAAAAGGCAGAGACAGTCAGATTCCCATCTGCATCCCAGGAAGCCAGGCAACTGTGATGCCATCCCCCAAGGTTAGAGCGAAATGTTTGTAGAAATTGAACCAATCAGGCCCTGGATACTGGGAAATCAGGTTTTAGTCAGGTATAGATATGAGGAACTGGATTGTACACCAGAGAAATTAGGAGTAAAGTTACTCCAGATTAGGTTGCCTGATAATTTGGTGGCTGATTGTTAAAATCCAGTCTCTGCTAAGGCCAGAATCAAGCTGAAAGCTTTGTTTCAAAAGGAGAGTATTTATCATCCGAGAATGGCAGAAATTTGCCCCAAAATGTGAAGAGTCTGCACTGCTATTCACCAAGGGGCCTGCTAAAAATCTCCAAGCAGCACCTCCCTCCGGCACTGACGCTTCACACATCATCAAATCTGATGGACAACATGATGCATATGGTAGTCTTCTCTTATTTGGGCCCCTGTTCAAAAGTAGCTTTTGGGGTCAGTTGGAAATGGACCAAAGTAGGACACCCAGTGAGGAATAAATTGCCTCCAAAATCAAAGGGGCCCACCAGGAATTGTTCCTTGTTTTTTTTCATAATAGGGGCCAGATGTAACATGCTCTGTCCCATTTGACCCCTACAAGTTTAACTGGATAAATGTTCTCTGATTTGTGTGTGTGTGTGTGTGTGTGTGTTTATTCCCTAGACTCTGGCACACAAATATCTTTCCAATTAATCTAGAGTAGTTGCTATTTCTTGTTCACTATGTCTAATCCACATACAATGTCATCAATGTAATGGACCAGTGTGATGTCTTGTGGAAGAGAACTATAATCAAGATTGCTGAGGACTAAGTTATGCCACAGGGTTGGAAAGTTGACATACCCATGGGGTAAGACAATGAAGGTGGTTTCCTAGAGTTGCCAACTGAAAGCAAACTGCTCTTGTTGTCTTTACTAAAGGTATCAGAAAAAAAAGAAGCAGAGAGAGAAATAGTTTAACTACTTAGGTGAGGCCCATCCAGATTATCAAGGAAAACCTCCTCTACTTGAAGTCAGCTGATTGTAAATGTGAATTATCTTTATGAAATACCTTCACAGAAACACCTAAATTGGTGTTTTATTGAGTAACTGTAGCTATAGCCTAGCTAAGTTGGCACATAAAGCCAATAATCACAAGAAGTAAAGTGCATGATGATATTACAGAATAGATGAGACAGTGGTGAATGGAGTTAAAGTATCCACACATCCTAGCATTTATTTGGATGTGGTAAACCTAAAGAATGGAGTAAGTTAAGGATTATTAAATTCTAGTAATATACAGTAACCCTTAACAGAACAGTTAAAGAAGGTATAACTAGGATGCTATAGCACTATGCCATGGGATAAACACTTATGAAGTCATAGCCCAGAGACATAAACCCACTTTTAAAAAGGTCAGATGTAATCATAAGACAACAGAAAGTTTCCTCTCCCCCACAGTTTACCAGCACACCAACAGCAAACACATGGTATAATAATAGTGAGCTATGGCCGAAGAGACACAAGGCTCAGTGTCTGTCTGAAGGTACTTAGGGACAACTGAAGTCAAGAGGGGAGACAAAAGCAACCATCCACTAGAGGATTTGAAGCCTCTGGCACTGATGGTTACAACAAACATTAAACGCAGCTCAATTCTGTTTTTCTCAATCAACATAAATCCTCCCACAAAAGACCTATTTACCTCAGTTTCTATTTGCCAATACATATTATTTAAATTTAAAAAGAATTACAAGGTATGTCAAAGGGTAAGACAAAATATGGACTAAAGAGAAAAATCAAGCATCAGAACCAGAGTCAGATATAACACAGGTGTTAGAATTATCAGACAGAAAACCTAAAATAACTATAATTAATATGTTGAGAACTCTAATGTAAAAGTAGATACCAAGGAAGAGCAGATGGTTATTGTAAGCAAAGAGATGGAAATTCTAAGGAAGAACCAAAAGGAAATGATAGTAATAAAAAATATAGCAACAGAAATAAAGAATGCCTTCACAGAGCTCACCAGCAAACAGGACATAGCTAAAGAAAAAATCAGTTAGCTTGAAGGTGGGTCAATAGAAACTTCCCAAACTAAAATACAGCAAGAAAAAAAAAATGAAATGAACAAACAAAAAAAATCCAAGAAATGTGACAATCTCAAAAGGTGTAACACATGTATAATTGGAATACCACAAGGAATGCAAGAGAGAATATAACAGAAAAAATTGTTAAATTATAACAGCTGATAACTTTCCAAAATTAATGCAGACACCAAAGCACAGATTTCAAACACACACACACACACACACACACACACACACACACGAAATGCCCTAGGCATATTATATCCAAACTGCACAAAACCAGAGACAAAAAGAACATCTTGAAAGAAGCTAATAAACAACAACAAAAAATAATTCCTGTAACTGAAGAAGGGCAAAGATAAGAACACAATAGCCTTCTCAACAGAAACCATGCAAGTGAAAGGCATTCTGTTTCTTCTACCTGGAGCACTTCTACCTCTTATCCATAACCTCAGTCCTTACTCATTCTTGTCACCATTGGGTTGTTGCTCTGATATCACAGCATTAGTGAATCCTTCCATGACAATTCCACTTAAAAATACAACCTTTGGAAATGCCTCCTGGAAGGGAGCAAGATGGTGAACTAGAAGGCTCCACTGATTGTTCCCTCCACAGGAACACCATATTTAACAACTATCTACACCAAAAAAAGCACCTTCATAAGAACCAAAAATCATGTGATCACTCACAGTACCTGGTTTTAATTTCATATTGCTGAAAAAGGCACTGAAGCAAGTAGGAAAGACAGCCTTAAAGCACCAATGCCACCCCTCCCCCCATCTTCCCATAGCAGCTGGGTAGTGTTGGGGAGAATCTATGCACTTGGGTGGGGGAGAGTGCAGCAATTGTAAGATTTTGTATAGCCCTATCATAGCAGAAAGTAAAACTGGGCTGAACTCAGCTAACACCCACCTGCAGAGGAAGCATCTAGACCATCTAGCCACAGAGGATTTGCCTATTCCATTGGCCAGAGCTGGAGTTCATGCAAGCCTCGCCACCATGGGCTGAAGTGCTCTGCAGTCCTAAACAAACTTGAGAGACCACAAGGACTGCAACTTGGAACTGGGGGACATGTGACTTACTATGACACCAGCTAGGGCAGCTAAGGGAGAGCTTGTGCCACTCCTCCCCCAACCCCAGGCAGTACAGCTCACAGCTGCAAAAGGTGCCCTTTCTTCCTCTTGAAAGGAGGAGAGGGAAGAGTATGGAGGACTTTTGATTTGCATCTTGGATGCCAGCTCAGTTACAGAAGGATAGGACACTGATCAGAGTAACGAGGCCCCCATACTATGCCCTTCCCCAGATTACATTTTTAGACATACCCTGGCCCAAAAGAGAACCCACTGCCTTGCAAGGAAGCTCCCAGTCCTGCCAGGTTCCATTGCCTGCTGACTAAAGAGCCTTGGGTCGTGAATAACCAGCAGCAATACCCAGGGGGTATACCGTGGACCTTGAATGAGACTCTGAGATGTACTGACTTCAAGTGAGGTCTAGCGTTAGCTACAAATAAAGTAAAATACCTAGGAATTAACCAATGATGTGAAAGATCTTCTCAATGAAAACTATGAAACATTGAGTCAAGAATTTAAAGAGGACACCAATGAAAAGATATTCCATGTTCATTTGGAAAAATCAATATTATTAAAATGTTCATACTACCTAAAGCAGTCTACAGATTTAATGCAATCCTTACCCAAATACCAATACATTCTTCACAGAAATAGAGGAAAGAAAGAACCTAAAATGTATGTGAAACCACAAAAGACACAGAATATCCAAAGCTATGCTGAGCAAAAAGAACAAAGCTGGAGGAATCACATTCTCTGGCTTCAAATTATGCTACAGAGCTATGGTAACCAAAATGCATGGTAATGGCATAAAAACAGACACATAGTCCAATGGAACAGAATAGAGAACTCAAAAAAAATCCATACATCTACAGTGAACTCATTTTGAAGAAAGGTGAAAAGCACATACAATGAACACACTCTTCAATAAATGGAGCTGGAAAAATTGGATATCCATATGCAGAACAATTAAACTAGACTGCTATCTCTTGCCATATACAAAAATCAAATTGAAATGGATTAAAGACTTAAATCTAAGACCTCAAAGTAGGAAACTACTAAAATAAAACATTGGGGAAACTCTCCAGGACATTGGAATAGGCAAAGATTTCTCGAGTAATACCCCACAAGCACAGGTAACTAAAGAAAAAATGGGCAAATGGAATCACATCAAGTTAAAAAGCTTCGGCACAGCAAAAGAAACAACCAACATAGTGAAAAGACAACACACAGAATGAGAGACAATATTTGCAAACTTCCTATCTGACAAGGGATTAATAACTACAATGTATAAACAGCTCAAACAACTCTATAGGAAAACAAATCTAATAATCCTATTAAAAAATGGACAAAAAATCTGAAAAGAAATTTCTCAAAAGAAGACATACAAATGGCAAACAGTTTATGAAAAAGAACTCAACATTGTTGATCATCAAAGAAATGCAAATCAAAACTACAATGAGATACCATCTCACCCCAGTCAAAATGGCTTTTACCCAAAAGACAGGCAATAATAAACATTGGTGAGGATGTGGAGAAAAGGGAACCTTCATATTCTGCTGGTGATAATGTAAATTAGTACAACCACTATGGAGAACAGTTTGAAGGTTCCTAAAAAAACTAAAAATAGAGCTACCATATGAATAGGAAACCTGACTTCTAGGTAAATATCCAAAAGAAAGGAAATCAATGTATCAAAGAGACACTCCCATGTTTATTGCAGGTCTATTCACAATATCCTAGATTTGAAAGTAACCTATGCATTCATGAACAGATGAATGGATAAAGAAAATGTGGTACATATACCCAATGGAATACTATTCAGCCATAAAAAAGAATGAGATCCTGTCATTTACAACAATATGAGTGGAACTGGAGGTCATTATGTTAAGTGAAATAAGCCAGACACAGAAAAACTTTGGATGTTCTCATTTATTTGTGGGAACTAGAAATTAAGACGATTGAACTTGCGGAGATAGGGAGTAGAAGGATGGTTACCAGAAGCTGGGAAGGGTAGCTGTGGGATGATGATGGGAAGTGGGGATGGGGAACTGGAAAGTAATACTACAAACTCAAAAGTGAAACACAAATAGTAATTTATTCATTGCTTAAGGTAGAGAGTAAATTATTATAATAATTATTATGTATCATTAAGGGGGACAAAAAATAATTAGAAAGAGTAGGACCCAGCATTTTCTAGCACAACAGGGTGACTGTAGTCAAAAATAATTTAATCATACATTTAAAAATAACCAAAAGAATGTAATTGGATTGTTTGTTACACAAAGGATAAATGCTTGAGGGGATGGATACTCCATTTACCCTGATGTGGCTGTCACATATTACATGTCTTTATCAAAATATCCCATATACCCCATAAATATATACACCTACTATGTACCCGTAAAAATTCAACATTAGTAATAAAAAACCAACCCTTTGTATCTCCCTGATCTAAGCTCAAGCACTCTGTGTTCCCTTTCCAAGGTATAATTTTCTCATTTGAACTCATCTCCACTTATCATTTTCTATATTTTATTTAACATATGTTTATTGTCTTTGTCACTAAATTGAAGTTCTATAAGAACAAGGATTTTTGTGTTTTTTCACTGCTATAGACTGTAAGATCACCTGGCCCACAATGTTTAAATTTATTACTTAAATGAGTTAACTGTCTCAATCTGAAATAAAATAATTACATACGCAATACTAACAATAATAATTATAATAGCAATTATTTATTGAATACTTAGCATGTGCCAGTTCCATGTGCTAATAATTTTAAAATATATTTTATCATTCAATTCCGAAAATAACCCAATTAGGTAGGGGTCAGGCTGGTTGGGTCCTCTCTGTTCAATGAGCCAGATAAATTCCATGACACTTGGCATGTCTTTGAGAATAGGCCTTGTGAGAGAAAGGTTACCTCACATAACAAAGAGTCACCAGGCAGAGATCCTATGGGTCCCCCATCTTTCCATTCCCTCATGTCACAACCAGGAAGTCTGCACTAGGTTCTAATGTAGTAAAGCCCTACCACTACCACCATTGGGTGTTTTCCTTTTAAAAATATGAGGAAATGGTTGCATCAGTGCTGAAACACACGAGTGTTTGGTGCTTGAAAATCTGGATTTAGAATGTCAACACTTTACAGAGTTTTCTGGAATAGCCAACTGTCGGATTTTGAGACAACTAGGGACCTTGTAGGTTATAGACTATCACAGAGCTCCCTGGCAGGAAAAAATACCTGGAGAAGTTGAGCTCCAGTACCATTCCACCAGTTGGGAAAAAAACATCCACACTTGAGTCCTATGTGCAGATTTATGAAGATGTGTGGCCCTGTGAACAGAGAAGTCAAATTGTGATGATGCATTTGCAACAGGGTCCTCAGAATATTCATGACAAACTCTGAAGCTGGGAGGGCCCTGAAATTGAAGTTGGGTCTGGGCTTTTTTACTCTCAAAGTGACCAGTCATTGGATGCAGGGTGCCCCAGCAAAAGGCATAGATTTGAACAAGGAAGCTCTCTGGGTGGAAGGCAACTCCCAGAGAGAAGTTGATCTGAGAATTGTCAGCAACCAAACTTGCAGCTGAAGAAATAAATGTCTTAGTTATAAAGATGGGGGAATTGGCCAATGTACCATATAGCATGTGCTAGAGCCTCTGTTACTCTTCTTAATCAAAATGTGTCACTAAGATTTATTATTTTAACAACCTATGGTTGTTAATTCTCTAATCCCTTGATGCAATGAATACTTAAAATGCCAAACAACTGTAAAGGCAATTGCACAGAAAAGAAAACACTTTTAAAAGTCTATTTTTATTGAACAATAAACAATAAAATCATTTGGGAATGTTTTGTAATACAATGCTCCCCAAAAGTTGAAGCACACAAAATTCTTTTGAAAATTATAAATATTTGGAACTGAAAAGTAATACTACAAACTCAAAAGTGATACACAAATAGTAATTTATTCATTGCTTAAGGTAGAGAGTAAATTATCATAATCTATTTTATTAATTTTTCATCAAAAAGTGATAAGTGGGGAAATTGCTATTAAGCAATCTCTTCAGTTACAGAAACTAAATTATTGCTGGGTGATAAATTTGTGCAGCCAAGAATCTTAAACAGAACACTGCAGGAACTGAACCATTGAGTTATATATCAAAATTACTGAATTTGTACAGTGAACAAGCCTGTGGAGCTGTTTATCATTACTTCATTGCTACTAATTCACAGAACACCAAATTATACTTGTATGCTATTACATTTAGTGACATTAGGCAAGTGAATTAATTCTTTCCCCACTTCCTTAGTTTCTTCACCTATACCACTGAGATAATAATACCAATCTCTCTTCTTCTATTGGACTATCAATATGAGATCATAAATGTAAAGACTGAATGTTTGCTAACAATAAAGAAATGTAAAATGATAGTAGGAGTACTATTTTAGATACTTTATAATATTAATAGAAGGAAAACTTTGTGTGTTGCAAAACTAGGAACTAATTTTTCAGTTAAGAAATATTTGAGTAATGTTTGATGATATGTGAATTATTTTACCTTTCTGGACTATAGTTTTTCATATGTAAAATGAAGAGGAATATCTATCTCACAAAACTATGATGAAAAGATAATACCAGTGAGAATCGCTTTCTATTCTAAAAATACTGCACAGGTATATTGAGATCATCACCATCACTGTTTCTAGCACATTATCACACGATCACCATCATTATCACCTTCCTTGATATTATCAAGGTGAATTTTAAACATTTAGGAAAAATCTGAAAAACAGTGATCTTATTCAAATTTTAAGATAATTACTAATATCATATTTAAAGTAATTAAAATTTTAAAATATGGCTATATAAATCTTGATAAATACTAGTCAGTAGACTTTACCCTTTGTAACGCCTTTACCATCCAAGAGAATATCCAGTTTTTTATCTTCAGAAAGATAAAACCTTGGTGTCAATAAGACCTTGGTGTCAATGACATTTCCATTACAGCTTCAATAAGAGTTATCAAGATTCTCAGAAATGTTTCTTAACATTTGATGGGCCAAAAATATTTCTTACAAACAAGCTTTGGGTCCTTATCTCAAATGAAAGTCATAAACATATTGGTCCCAGTACTTCTGAGAGTTGCTGTAGCCAAAGATGATCAGTCTCCCTCACCTATATCTGGTAGCAATTTTCCAAGGTGGTCCCCACTGCAAATGCCATATTGAATTGGCATTATAGGTTGGTGCAAAAGTAATTGTAGTTTCTGCTATTACTTAAAAAAACAACAATAACAAAAGGCAAAAACCGGAATTATTTTTGCACCAATTTTTTTTTCTTTTCTTTTCTTTTCTTTTTTTTTTGTGGCCGGGTGTTGTAGCTCACCCTTGTAATCCCAGCAGTTTGGAAGGCCGAGGCGGGCAGATCACTTGAGGTCGTGATTCGAAACCAGCCTGGCCAACATGAGGAAACCCCGTCTCTACCATAAATACAAAAAAAAAGAAAAAAAGCTGAGCGTGGTGGCATATGCCTGTAATCCCTGCTACTCAGGAGGCTGAGGCATGAGAATCTCTTGAATCAGGGAGGTGGAGGTTGCAGTGAGCCCAGATCACACCACTGCACTCCAGAGGGACAACAGAGTTAGACTCAGTCAAAAAACAAAAAAAAAAGAGAAAGAGAAAAAAAAGGAGAGAGAAAGAAAGAGAAAGAAAGAAAGAAAGAAAGAAAGAAAGAAAGAAAGAAAGAAAGAAAGAAAGAAAGAAGGAAAGAGGGAAAGAAAGAATTGGAGTTATTTCTGTCTCTTCGTAACCAATAGACATGGCATAAGTGAGGATGTTCCTGAAGGTAAGACTCAGTCAAAAGAAAAGAAACAGAAAGAAAAAGATGAAAGAAAGAAAAAGACGAAAGAAAGAAAGAAGAAAGAAAGAAAAGAAAGAAAGAAAGAGAAAGAAAGAAAGAGAAAAGATTGGCGTTCTTTCTCTCTTTGTAACCAATAGATATGGCATAGGTGAGGATGTGTGGTTCCTGAAGGTAAGTTCTAAAAGACACTGCACTGAAGCTTCTGCTTGAACCTCTTGGATATCTCATGCTGGAGGCAGCCTGCCACTTGGCCATTAGGACACTCAAGCAGTCTCACAAAGAGGCCAAGATGGAGCAGAGCTAATGTCCTCAGTCAACAGCCAGTACCAACTTATCAGCCATGTGGGTGAGGCGACTTAGAAGTGGATCCTCCAGACACAGCCAGGTCTTCAAATGCTGCCTCTGCAGCCACTATCTAACCGCAAATGCTTAAGAGATCCCTGAGTAATAAATTCCTACTGTGCCTTTTATGAATTCCTGACCCAGTGAATTCATGATCACAATACATGATAATGTTATATCACTAATTTGATGGAGGAGGGGGAATTTCTTGTACAGAATAAGATAGCTGGAACACCATTTCCAATTTTAAAGGAAAATATTTCATCATTTTATTGCTTTGCTTGAGAAGAAGTTAGCAAATATTATTGTGTGTGTGTGTGTGTGAGAGAGAGAGAGAGAGAGAGAGAGAAAGAAACAGAGAGAGAGATCTGCTTATAAGGGGGTTTGTGAAGAATCTGACATCTCTAGCCTAAAAAGTAATTATAAAACAAAATGAAACAAATACCTTTGAGAGATTAGAGCATTTGACCAGGCAGAAGTGGCTAGTTGTGCAACAAAATCTATTTTCCCCTTTCATAGAATTGGTTTCAGTTAGGATGTGGATGTGGGTTCAGATGTTACTTGTCCAAAAACCTCACCTCCCACCCCAGCCTCGGTGGTTTACTGTTACCGTTGTCACTTCTATAGTTTACCCTAGAGGGAAGAGCTACTCAACAGCGAGCAATTAACATTTAGGACACTTAGGACATAGCTGTCATTGTGTGAGTTTCATTACATATTAGGGGCAACTCTTTGTTAGACAAATTCAGAACAAATGTATTCGAATTCATAAAAATAAATGATGTTTTGGGTTATTTTCTGTGCCCTTAAACCACTTACTATTTTGATACAGCTTGACGGTCCCTTAAGGAACTCATTTCCTTTATAAAGCCTAATGCTTGTCATTTAGTGGTGATGCACTATGTATACGTTGATGTTAGAATGAAGACATTTTGACAACTAGGATGCATAGTCATTTAAAATGCAAATAAATAATATTTTAGAAGCCTAAAGAAGCTTAGACATAAACATCAAATTTTACCTGATTCTTCTTAAGATTTATTTTGTGTGTCAATACAAAATGTTTATGTTGGAAAAGGAGAACTGAATACTCCATATGTGCATTTCGCTATGATTGAAAGGATAGACTTTTTTTCCTTAGAAGAATTTATATATCAAAGCATTAGATATGTTGTGTAGTTTTTTCACGTAATAATGCAAATTTTGGATTTCAAATTTATGAAGCATTGCAAAATTCAACATACCTCAACTAATGAGAACCCCTCTCCCAATGATAAACACACAAAGAAAACTGAAGAAAAATAAAACACACCACCACAGACTGAATTACCTGTACTCAAACACTCAGAGTTTTTGAAAAATTTCCTTGAATCAGAAATTCAAAAAGTAAGAAGGGAAAGAAATATGAAGAGAATAAGATTGAAATCAGGCGAAAAAAAATACAAGAAAAAAAACAAATTTCCTCAATACTAAGTTTTCCAAGGTAGAATATCCTTAAACTTGAATTTAATATGGGACATTAAAGAAAGGTAAGCAAATAAGTAAGACAACAATAATGAAATCGAAAGAGTTAAGGAAAAGTAGTGAAGTTGAAGATGGGCAAAGAAACATTTCTATGATTATATATATAGAAACATTTACATAATAACATTTATATAATTTCTGTTCCAGAAGAAGTAAAACAAAACAAAGGAACAGAATTAATCTTTGAAATTATAGGTTAAGACATCTTTCCAGAAATAAGAGGAGACCTGTATCTACATACAGAAAGGACACATCTGATTCCTGAGAAACTAAAAAGTTGGGTCCCCCAAATTAACCTAAATTAAATGTAATCCCAAAAAGATATAAATCTGGATCTTTTGCAGTAATTTATTAAACTCTTGCTAATATTTATGTGGAAGACAAAAGATCACTGGACTACTAATTAACCTCTGAAAATAAAAGCAAATGTCAGGGACTGAAACTGACAGGTATCACTTTATATTACAAAGAGAGAGTAATATAAAACTGTATGGTACTTTGGGAAAAAACAGACAAATATTCCAATGGAGCATCATAGTTTTCAAAAAAGTATGCAAATCTAATACATTAAAAGTGTAACATCTCAATCAGGAGAGAAATAAATGAGCTTGAGTAATCAATAGTTGCTGGGAATATAGGATCCCTCCATAGAAAAAAAACAAAACTGCATCCTAACACCACATAGAAAAGTGGAATCCAGGTAGATTAAAGACCTAATTGTCTCATACAGAAGAATATCTTTGAAACGTAGGAGTCTTAAATAAAACTCCCAAAATACAAACTATATGGCAAAAATGATTAAGGATAAAAATCATAAAAAGTATTTCTTTTCAGTGAATGATGCAATGGATAAAATTTTAAAAGAGATGACAGATTAAAAATGTATTCACCATATGTAAAATAGGGCATGATATTTAGGCGATAAAAGAAATTCCCAGAAATGAACATGAAAAGACAAAAACCCACACAGAAAAATAAGCAAATGATATCAATAGGCTATTCTCACAAAAGTTGAATTCCAAAAGACTAACAAGCATATGATTGGATACTTATACTCATTGGTAATTAAATAAATGCAAATTAAAATAATAATGAGATATTAATTTGCACCCATCAGATTGGGAAAAAAAGTAGAAAATTTGATATTGCCAAGTATTGACAGTCCAAATTGATGTTAAATATGTGTATACTCTATAATCCAGCTTTCTACTCCTGAATATTTACATCTTTGAGAAATTGTCACACCAAATCAGTGGGATAATTATGATGGTTATTTGTGGTAGTAAGAAGTTGGAGGCAATGTCATTAGCTACCACTTAGCAAATGGAGATAAGTAAATTTTAGTGACTTCACAGTGTAGAGTACTGGGTAAATCTCGGAAGCAACAAACTAAGTATATAATGTATATAGATCTTCAAATATATTTCTGAGTTTACAAGTAAGAAAAAGAATGAGTCCTATAGCACAATTATATTTACAATAATTAAAAGTAATTAATATCAATGTTCAATACAAAGTTCACAATACATAGAAATAATACACGTTAAATAATGGTTGCCTATGGAAAGCAAAAGAATGGACCTGGGAAATGGGGATAAAAGGGAATACAAACATTCATGCACACTCGTGTGAATTCATACATGCGTAATACATACACATTCATATGCAAGTACACATGCATACATGCACAGAACAAGAGAGAGACTTGCATGGACTAATGATGAATAGTGTGCTATGAATTGAAGAGTTGATGAACACGACGCTCTATATCTGAGTATAAAAGTTAAGCAAATCGGCCGGGCGCAGTGGCTCACGCCTGTAATTCCAGCACTTCGGGAGGCCGAGGCACGCAAATCACGAGGTCAAGAGTTTGAGACCAGCCTGGCCAACATGGTGAAACCCCATCTCCACTAAAGATACAAAAAATTAGCTGGACGTGATGGCACGCCTGTAATTCCAGCTACTTGGGAGACTGAGGCAGGAGCATTGCTTGAACCCAGGAGGCGGAGGTTGCAGTGAGCCAACATCGCACCATTGCACTCCAGCCTGGGCAACAGGGCGAGACTCCATCTGAAAAAAAAACTAATTTAAACAAATCATCCACATTTAAAATTCTACATGTAATAATGGTAAAAATCTAAAACGTATTACATTCACTCTACATTCAGATGAAACTTACTTTTGATCTTTTTTTTGAAATAATCAATATAAAATATTGTCATCTGTCTTTAGTCTAGATAATTTGCCAAACCATCTTGTAGTTTATTGGCAGGCTGATGGTCAAAATGGTGCAGGTTTCTTTATTTTAAGAGAAATATATTCTGGAATTCAAATCATTGGAAGAATGTTTACATCATAGACAAATTTTCACAAGACACAAACATTTTGCATTTCATTAACACATTAATAATTATTATCTAATTTTTGTCCAGTTGTATGTATGATCATGGGGTTGTATCATAATGTGTGGGTGTGTGTGTGTCTGTGTGTGTGTGTGTTTGGTAAGCACAGGCCTTCATCAATGCAATAGTCAGTCTTTTTGTTTATTCTTTTTACCAGGTAAGAAAAACATCATCTGTTTAAATGTAAAGAGATATATTTATGTACATTAAGATTTATTGTGGAATAAATAGCACATTTTCATTTAGTGATTTCCTAACAGAGAGATCACATGATGAGAGTATATGGCAAAGTTCACTTATTGTTAAAAAAAAAAAAAATCCTTGCAGACAGTTCTGCTTCTTGGTCCTCATTTGACTAGCTGGTTCTGATACAGATCTCAGTCCTAAGGCTAGTTCTTATATGGATCTCAGTCCTATGGCTGTACTTTAGAGAGTCCTTCTCTGGTCACCAAATCTAAAACAGCATGTTTATCATCCTCACCTTATTTGCTTTTTCTTGACAGCAAGTTAGCAAATTATTTGAAATCCCCTCTCTCTTCCATGGCCTTGCTTGCTTATTCTCTTCAGAATGCAAACCCCATGGAAGCAGGAAACTTATTTATCTTGTTTTCTTTTTTAAATGTTTTTGCTATATTCTGAGGTCCTGAAATAGTACATAATACGCATTCAAAATTTATTTGTGGAGTGAATGATGAAATAATGAATAAATTACTAAATAACTTATATTTAACACAATTTTTTTAAATTGACCACTTTGGGCCTGTTTACAATTAACACATATGTACATTTTGAAGTTTCAAAAATTAAACTAATACACGTACTTGATTTAAAATTCAGCAGGATATATAATGAAAAAAATAGTCCTCTGTCTTATTCCTCCACTCCTCTGGTCCTAAATCTCAACAGTAGAAATTTTGGTTATTTCCATTTAACTTCTTAAAATATTTTTATATCTTCCAGTATTGTGCTTGCACTGCTATATTTTGGACAGACTTTGGCATTACCTATTGATTGTCTCCTGAGATAGATAAGGATCTAGATCATTTACACCTACTATATCTTGCCTGTCCAAACTCCATATCTAACTGGTAAAATTCCATCACAGCATCATTCCTGTCACCAGTGAGCTCTGGAATTTCAGAAATAATTCTTAAACCTTCATTTTATTTTCCCATCATCTTTGGAACAACATCTTTGATGCTCCATTTGCTAATCTTCCTTCCACGTCTTCTATCATCTCTTGCATTCCCAACCCATCATCTATGCATTGATTTGGCATGGTTGCTAATATCCGCATTTTGTTATTTAATCATAAGTTGACTCTAAGAATAAAAAGAATAAACAATGTTTGCATTTTTATGATATTATACTGTTTACCACAGAGCCAAGCCACATACAAAGATTACAACCTCTTCTATAGGTCCAATATCACATGATGTCAAGTTGGAAAATAGTCATATATTAATTTTTAACCCTCCAACACGTCTTCAATACTTCTGCATGTTTACAGTCATTTTGTTTATTCTATTTTCTTTACTCAATACTTTCACCAAGAGGGGTCCACTTTCCAGTGCTGTCCTAAAGTGGATATTTCTAGTCCTACTGCACACCTGTCTTACTGGCACAGGCA
The DNA here is from genome assembly GCF_000001405.40 of Homo sapiens. Classification (NCBI taxonomy): domain Eukaryota; kingdom Metazoa; phylum Chordata; class Mammalia; order Primates; family Hominidae; genus Homo; species Homo sapiens. The sequence continues at coordinate 102,360 of NW_019805503.1, forward strand.
GACCTGCCTTACTGGGACAGGACTTACCTACTCTCTTGGGTTGATCTAATGTGCATTTGGATCCCATGACTGTCTCTGCTCTTAATTTATTCTTTCATTTCCAAAACTTTACTAGTTTTAGTTTTACCATGTCTGGAATGCTATGTTGCCCCTCACATTTGTCTAGATATAAACCTCTAGTTAAATGTTTTTCTCCTCAGAACTCAAAGAGTCCATTCCCTTCATAATCCTGATAATAATGACAAGTCAAACACCAGTCTGATTCTTAATTCTTTATAAGACACCTTTTTTCTTCCTAGAAGCTTTTTGAAACTTTTTAGTTTTTCTCTGGGGGAATTTTTCTACTCTACCTCTTTCATAATTCCCCTCCTGTTATTCTCTCCGATCTCTCTTTACTAGTGAGGTGTGGGACCCCCTAATTCTTCTACTGTGCTATAGAGTTGCTTATTCTGCAAATGCACTTTTAATTTTCAGTGTTCTTGATATTTGATTTTTCTTTTTTTATAGAATTACATTTATAAAAATACAATAGGTTCTTGAATATTTCCAAGGACATATTTTAGTGCTTTCTTGTTTATTTTCTATTGTCTAAATTAAATTGTTCATAGGTGAGTTTTTTTCCCCCTGATAATTTATGCTTGTCTTTCTCATTCATATCCTTTACTTTCTGTAACTATCTGGGGATCTTTGGCAGTATTTTTATATTTAAAAAATATACTTTTCCAATCTGTGTAGCTAAGTGTGGCTTGCTTTATGGTGAACAAATGGAAATCCAGCCATCCCCAAAAGCCAAGGTAGGTCTCTACTCTGGAGTACCAATGATCATGCCCGCTGTCACAGTTACTGTTTGAGATTATTTTAGAAATTACTGTTTGAAACATGGTCATTTTTATTTGTCACAATTTTTACTGTCCTTAGCAATCATTTAAAAATATTCTCTATTTGTAACTTGTCTTTAAAAATCACAATAGAACTTGCTCCCCTTTCAATCTGGTCACTGCCCATGGTCAAGGTTGAAATCTTGAGATCAGTGACGACCTTGGCCTACCTTCAGTCTGAAGTTGCACTCTTACGTAACCGAATCCATTTCTTCACCAAAAATTAGCTTTCAAAAGGTGTCTGGCATATTCTTAGGAAGTGTCCTGGGATGGAGCTGGAGGGTCCTGGCCTTCGGGCTCTGGAGGGGGTGCTGGCACAGCTGCTTTTTTCTGGGCCGCCAGGAACTCATGAATTGCTCGTTCTATTTGTGGCCTGAAGATGTGGTTAAGTTTTGGATCCACCATCTGAGAAATAATCCTGTCTACTCCAGCTTCCAACATCCCTGACTGAACCACACTCTGCCTCAAACCATTTCGCAATTGGTTTTTGTTCATTGTAGGATTCCATTCCTGCTTGTCCAGATTTTTGTTCTCACTCATAGATGGGAATTGAACAATGAGAACACATGGACACAGGAAGGGGAACATCACACTCTGGGGACTGTTGTGGGGCGGGGGGAGGGGGGAGGGATAACATTAGGAGATATACCTAATGCTAAATGACGAGTTAATGGGTGCAGCACACCAGCATGGCACATGTATACATATGTAACTAACCTGCACATTGTGCACATGTACCCTAAAACTTAAAAGTGTAATAATAATAATAAAAAAAAAAGCTCAAAAAAAAAATCACAATAGAAGATCATTACGTAAATTACGTGTACACATTGAACATCAGAGTTAGACACATTGTTCTGTGCACACTAAAACTGCTGCTCTGATTGGAAAAGTGCAACAAAACAAAATATCAAAGCAAAGGATCAAGGTCTTATTTGTAGAATGGTAAATTTAAGATACCTTACAGCAAATGAAGGATTGCCAAATTGTCCTTCAAAAACTTGGGATCAGTTTAAACTTACAGCAACAGTAGGTGAAAATGCCCATTTTCAACATCCTCTAAGCATTGCATGTATCAGATCTTTAATCTTGGCACTTGTTAGGTGAAAAATATTATCTCAGTTATATTTTTATGCTTCTAAGTCACTGTTATTCATTCAACAAACAGTTGTATCTTTTTCAAATTTTGTCGTGTTGGAATCGCTTTTTTCATTATTTATAAGAGATTCTGGCTTATAAGGAAAATTGCGATTTTGTTGCAAATATTTTTCCTTTCTTATAAATTTATCTTCTGACTTTCTTTATGACATTTTTAACCATAGAGGAATTCTCATTGCTTTTGGCCAAAATAATCAATCTAACTAAATCTTAGACATTTAGTATGCTGAGATTGACATTTGGGAAAATCTCTTTCTTTTTCAGATCAGAAAAGACAATTGTACTATTCAGCATGCTTCCTTGTCCTTGTCAAGGTTTTGTTATATTTTACAGATATTCATTATAGTTTATATTTGGAAGTAATAGCAATTTATTTCATTAAATGGATTTTTTTTATCTGTTTTTCTTTTAATTTTGTTTTGTTTTGGTGTGATGTGAGGGAGGAAAGCAAAAATAAATGCTGGAAATAGTAGGAAATAGTAGCATTAGTTTCTATAGTTACCCCGCACACACACCCATTGTCTCCTCCCCCTAAAAACTAAAAATAAATTTATTTTTTTTTTAAGAGACAGGATCTCGCTCTGTCACCTAGGCTGGAGTGCAGTGGCACAATCAAAGCTCACTGGCTCCTCAAACTCCTGGGCTCAAGTGATTATCCCACCTCAGCATCTCAAGGAGCTGGCACTACAGAAACCTGCCATCATGCCTGGCTAATTTTTTTTTATTTTAGTAGAGATAAGGTTTTGCTATGTTGCCCAAGCTAGTATCAAACTCCTGAACTCAAGTAATTCTTCCACCTTGGCATCCCAAATTGTTGGGAATATAGGTGTGAGCCACCACGCCAGGCCTACATTTAGTAATCCTGTTTAACATGTTATTTTAATCTAGAAGAAAAATAATACTATCACACTGTATCTTCCTCTCTAGGAACAAGGCATTTCTTTACATTTACTCAACGCTTCATCTGTGTTTCTCAGTTGAATTTTTCTTTTAACTTTTATTTTAATTTCAGGGTTACATGTGGAGGTTTGCTACATAGGTAAATTGTGTGTCGTGGAGGTTTGGTGTAAAAATTCTTCGCTCACCGAGATAATCAGCATAGTACCCAATAGGTAGTACCTAATAGGAGTACCATAGTACCTTACTCTCCTCCACCCCACCACTCTCCACCTTCCAACCTCAAGTAGGCCCAAGTGTCTGCTGTTTCTCTTTGTGTTCATGTGTACTCAATATTTAGCTCCCACTTGTAAGTGAGAACATGCAGTATTTGTTTTTTTTCTTCCCATTTTAGTTCACTTGGGATAATGACCTCCAGCTCCATCCATGTTACTGCAAAGGATGTAATTTTGTTCTTTTTTATGGCTGCATAGTATACCATTGTGTATATGTGACACATTTTCTTTATCCAGTCTGTCACTGATGGGCATTTAGATTGGTGACACAAACAGAAGCTAAGAAAACAAGGGAATTTTGATGCTCCCAGCAAGTCTGATGATTTGTGAGAATTATTAGTTAACTAATCCTCTTTAAATTAATTCATATGATGAATCAGATATGGTCACTGTATTCTGGTGTACCACAAGGGCCAAGAGGGAAAAGAAAGAATACAATATTCATTATTTACTATGAATAATGAATTATTCTATTGGCTTATTACTGTGAATCATTAGAAAAGAATGGAGAGAGAGAGATAAGAATGGTTAAAATGATTTAATTTCTCCACTTCCAAAAATGTTATTTAATGTTCATTTTTTAACTAAAAACACTTTTCTGCAACTTCTTTGTCAAATCTGATAACTTTATTCTCTTCTGAGTTCAAAAGCATACCAAAATAACCTCTCCACTACTATGCATGCACTTTGAGAGAAAAAAAAAATCTTAAAGTTTGGATAGGATGAATGTTAAAAAGGTTCTAATAAAAATAGCTGTTTTCAGGTAGCTATTTACTAGAAACTGAGTTTTTTCCCCCATTCTGTATTGTTCCTCAGCCTTTGCTAAGAAAGCGTTTTTCTTTCTCTTTCTCTGCCAGGTTTCCAGCACAATGAGAATTGTACTGATTAGGTCCATGGGCAGAAACGCAGCCATGAAATGTGGAGCAGAAAGGTCAGTTTTGAATTTCTTTGAAATATTTTGTTAAATCAGTAACAGGAAAGGTCAGTTGGGCTCTGAGCGAGGTTTTTGCCTTTATTATTTTTCTGCCAGGCTCAAGACGTTCCATGTTTGTAAAACTCTGTATTTAAATTGGTCTGATTCCGGTTTCAAATATTGTATGTGTTTAACACAAAGACATCAGAGATATGAGATTATTGAGTAGTCATTAGTAAATATCAGTGTTGTTTAGTATATGATGGTAAAGTTCAGTGAGGAAATAGACAGCCAGTATAGACTCGAACATTTTAATATAAATATTTTGTGAAAGTATGTGATACTGAAAAAAGTTGGTGAAAATCATCTCACCATAAAGAATACAGTTGATTGATGCAAACATTAGAAAGTACCCAGTGGCCATTAAGCCTAATTTCTTCACTTTGTTTATAAAATAATCCAGCCATTGATGCTAAGTAACTCAATATTTGTGTCACTTTCTCGTAATCTCCAAGAGCAGCAGCATTCTATTTACCACATTAGCAGTAAACCTCCTGACCCTTTCAAGAGGCCATTCTTTGATCACATTTATATTTACGAGAGCATGCTGCATGAAGTCTACTTTGCCTCAGGATGGTTAACCCATCTTCTTTTCTTTATATTATTTTAAAATCGTACTTGCTTAAAAATGAATTTCCACTTATGGCCAAGATGGGATAAAAGAGGCCTCAAATTTATCCTATTTCATGGAAACAAATCAGTGAATGGGGAGAGGTCAGGGATGGAGAGTTGGAAAGAAATGATGAGAGAGATGGGGAAATACAGAAAGATAAGTATACAAACCAGTGGTTTTCAAAATACTGAATTTCAGGCAACAAAAGGCAGTGATCTCTGAGAAATGGGAAACAAATGGAGTAAGGGCTACAATTTTTAGAGCTTAATGCCTTGAGAGAATTTGTAGGCCACAGCAGAGTGAGAAAGAATCCAGGTAGAGCCCAGTAGACTTTCAGAGTTAAGTAGATTAAACTGAAAGTCCAGGTGGACCAAGGCAGATACAGTTTGCAACCCAGAAAAGTGGAGAGGAGAAACCTATGCAAAAAGATAACTGCAGATCTGCAGAGCATCCTGTTGGTATTCATCAGTGTCCTGATTGGCTGATGCATGTACGGAAACAAATTGAGGCTGAGGAAAGAACCATCCAACAGCATTAGAGAGTGCGGTGCCAGCACCCACACGGGGCCTAGATAGTACCTATTACCACCAGTCAGATAGAAAAAGCTCATAATTCATGAGGAATTGATTAGATAATTCATAAAGATCTGTCTCAGTAGGAGGGAAAAATTATCCCTAGGCAAAACTGCTGCTCTGATCCAGCTCAAGAATTCTTATCAGCAAGACACAAACTACTTTGTAAGTTACTACATTGCATCTGAAAACTTAAGAATATTTAGAGAAACACAAAAATATACAGCAACCAGAAAGATAAAATTTACAATTTCATTTATCCAATCAAAGATTAACAGGCAAGCAAAGACCCATAATTAGGAGAGAAATGAACCAATCAAAACTGACCCAGTCCTGAAATCAATACTACAATTAGGAGTCAAGACCATTAAAACAGGTATTATAGCTGTTCAGGATATTCAGAAAGTTAAATATACATGGAAAATATGCCAAACCCTCAAATCAAATCTCTAGATATTGAAACTACACATTAAGATGAAAAATACACTGAAATGGATTAACAGCAGATTAGACATTGCAGAAGAAAATATTAATAAAGACATGGCAACTGAAACTACCCAAAATGAAATACAGAGAGAAAAAAGAATGAAACAAAATTAGATCAGTGAGCTGTAGGATAACTTAAGGCAGCCTGATGTACATGTAATTGAATTCTGCGAAGAAAAGGAAAAAGCTGAAGAGACAAAACTGTTTGATGAAATAATGACCAAATAATAGAATATTTACCAAGACAGGCCAGAAAACAAGCCTCATTAAATTTAAAAGGAATCAAGTCATATGCAGCATGTTCTCAAACGCAAGGGAATTAAATCAGAAAGCAGTAATAGAACTGGGAGTCTTAGAAAAAATGGTGGATAGGAGGCAGGACTAACTTGCAGTGCCCACTCAAAGAGATAGAGGAGCAGCATGTGGAGACCCACATGGTGAACTTTTGCTCCAAGAACTACTGCAGGAACATACCAGGAAAGCCAAGAGAATCCACAGACCCTTTAAAGAAGGTGGATTGCTGCTGCAGTCTTGGTGGGACAGCCGAGGAACTGTGAGTCAGCTTGCTTTCTCAGCTGGAAGGCTTGTAGCCTTGGGTAAGTTAGCCCTGCTCACCAACTGCCTGGAAATAAACTCAGTGCTGTTGGGGGGTCACAGTGTAGGTGAGACTGCCTTTTAAGGCTGCAGGCTGTGTAGGAGCTGGGGGAGGCCTGTGCTACCAGCTTTCCCCCACTTCCCTGGTGACCTGTGTGATGCAGCAGAGGTAGCCATAATCTCCCTGCGTACATAACTCCAGTGACCTGGGAACTACATCCCCATACCACACAGCAGCTGCAGCAATCCCTGTCCAAGGAGAGACTGAGCTCAGACATGCCTAACCCCACCCCCACCTGACGGTCTTTCTCTATCTGCCCTGGTAGCCAAAGACAAAGAATATAATCTCTTGGGAGCTCTATGGTCCTGCCCACCTCCTGATCCTCCCTATACTACTGCAGCTGATATGCTCTTGAAAATGCCACCTACTGGCTGGAGGCCAGCCAACACAAAACCAGTGCACTTAACAAAAATACAACTAAGGACCCTCACAGAGTTCACCTCACTCCCCTGCTGCCTCCACTGGAGAAGGTGCTGGTATCCGTGGCTGAGAGACCTGAAGATGGATCACATCACGAGACTCTTTGCAGACACTCCCCAGTACCAGCACAGAGCCCAGTAGCTCCACTGGGTGGCTAGATCCAGAAGATAAATAACAATCACTGCAGCTCAGCTTTCAGGAAGCCCTACCCCTAGGGGACAAGGGGAGCACCACATCAAGGGAGTACCCCATGGGAAAAAAGAATCTGAACAGCAGCCCTTGAGTCCCAGACCTTTCTTCTGACATAGTCTACCCAAATGAGAAGGAACCAGGAAAACAATCCTGGTAATAAGACAAAATAAGGTTTTTTAACACCCCCAAAAGATAACACTGGTTCACCAGCAATGGATCCAAACCAAGAGGAAATCTCTGAATTGCCAGAAAAAGAATACAGAAGGTTGATTATTAAACTACTCAAGAAGGCACCAGAGAAAGGTGAAGTCTAACTTAAAGAAATAAAAAAAAAGATACAGGATATGAATGGAAAAATCTCCAGTGAAATCAATAGCATAAATAAAAAACATATACAACTTCTGGAATAGAAGGACACACTTAGAGAAATGCAAAATCCACTGGAAAGTCTCAACAATAGAATCAAACAAGTAGAAAAAATAACTTCAGATCTCAAAGATAAGGTTTTCAAATTAACCCAATTTAGCAAAGACAAAGAAAAAAATAGTTTTAAAAATGAACAAAGCCTTCAAGAAGCTTGGAGTTATGCTAAACAACCAAACCTAAGAATAATTCGTGTTCCCAAGGAAGAAAAGAAATCTAAAAGTTTGGAAAACATATTTGCAGGAATAATCAAGAAAAACGTCCCTGGCCTTGCTGGAGATCCAGACATCTAAATACAAGGAGCTCAAAGAACACCTTGGAAGTTCATGGCAAAAAGATCATCATCTCAGCACATTGTCATCAGGTCATTTAAAATCAAGACAAAGGAAAAATTCTTAAGAATTGTGTGGCAAAATCATCAGGTAACCTATTAAAAAAAAACTATCAGACTAACAGCAGATTTCTCAGCAGAAACCCTTCAAGCTAGAAGGGATTGGGGTCCTATCTTTAGCCTCCTTAAACAAAACAATTATCAGCCAAGAATTTTTTATCCAGCAAAACTAAGCTCCATAAATGAATAAAAGATACAGTCTTTTTGAAACAAATGCTGAGATAATTTGCCATTACCAAAGCAACACAACTAAAACTGCTAAAAGAAGCCCAAAATCTTAAAACAAATCCTCAAAATACACCAACATAGAATCTTCTTAAAGCATAAAACTCACATGACCTACAAAAGAATAATAAAAAAGTAAACAAAGTATTTAGGCAACAAATAGCACAATGAATTGAATAGTACCTCACATCTCAATACGAACATTAAATGTAAATGGCTTAAATGCTCCACTTAAAAGATACAGAATGGTAGAACAGATAAGAATTCACTAACCAGGTATCTGCTGCTTTCAAGAGACTCACAAAAACTTAAGGTAAAAGAAAGCAAAAAGACATTCCATGCAAATGGATACCAAAAGCGAGCAGGAGTAGCTGTTCTTACATCAGCCACAGGAAACTTTTAAGCAACTGCAGTTAAAAAAAGACAAAGAAGGACATTATACACTGATAAAAGGACTAGTACAACAGGAAAATATCACAACCTAAATATATATGCACCTAACACTGAAGTGTCCAAATTTACAAAACAGTTACTAACCACTAGCCCTAAGAAATGAGATAGGCAGCAACACAATAATAATGGGGGACTTCAATACTCCACTTACAGTGATAGGCAGGTCATCAACATAGAAATTCAACAAACAATGGATTTAAACTATACCGTATAATAAATGGACTTAACAGATATTTACAGAACATTCTACCCAAAAACTGGAGAATATACATTCTATTCATCAGCACTTGGAATATTATCTAAGGTTGAACATATCATAGAGCACAAAACAAGTCTCAACAAATTTAAGAAAATTGAAATTATAGCACGTACTCTCTCAGACCACAGAGGAATAAAATTAGAAATTTCCTCCAAAAGGAACCCTCAAAACCATGCAGATATGTGGAAATTGAATAACCTGCTCCTGAATGATCATTTGATCAACAGTGAAATCAAGAAAGAAATTAAAAGATTATTTGAACTGAGTGATAATAGTGACACAACCTATCAAAACCTCCGGGATAAAGCAAAGGTGGTACTAAGAGGAAAGTTCATAGCATTAAATGCCTACATCAAAAAGTCTGAAAGAGCACAAATAGACAATCTAAGGTCATACCTCAAGGAACTAGAGGAAAAAGAACAAACCAAACCCAAACCTAGCAGAAGAAAAGAAATAACCAAGGTCAGAACAGAACTAAATGAAATTGAAACAAAAAAACAAAACAAAAGGTAAATGAAACAAAAATCTGATTATTTGAAAAGATAAATGAAATTGATACACCATTAGCAAGATTAACCAACAAAAAAAGGATAGAGAAGATCAAAATAAGCTCAATTAGAAACTAAGCAGGAAATATTACAACCAATACCACAGAAATACAAAAGATCATGCAAGGCTATGAACACCTTTACATACATAAACTAGAAAACCTAGAGGAGATGGATAAATTCCTGAAGGTGTACAACCCTCCTAGATTAAACCAGGAAGAAATAGAAACTCTGAACAGACCAATATCAAACAGCAAGATTGAAATGGTAAAAAAAAAAGTTACCAACAAAAAAAAGTCCAGGACCAGATGGATTCACAGCTGATTTCTATCAGACATTCAAAGAAGAATTTGTACCCATCCTACTGACACTATTCCAAAACATAGAGAAAGAGGGAATCTTCCCTAAATCATTAGATGATGCCAGTATCACCCTAAGTATTAGTCTGTTTTCACGCTGCTGAAAAAGACATACCTGAGACTGGGAAATTTACAAAAGAAAGACGTTTAATGGACTTACAGTTCTACGTGGCTGAGGAAGCCTCACAATCATGGCAGAAGGCAAGGAGAAGCAAGTCACATCTTACAGGGATGGCAGCAAGCAAAGAGAGAACTTGTGCAGGGAAACTCCCATTTTTAAAGCCATCAGATCTCATAAGACTTATTCACTATCATGAGAACAATGCAGAAACGACATACTCCAATAATTCAATTGCCTCACACCACGTTCCTCCCATGACACATGGGAATTGTGGGAGTTACAATTCAAGATGAGATTTGGGTGGGGACACAGCCAAACCATATCACCCTAATACCAAAACCAGGAAAGAACATAACAAGAAAAGAAAACTATAGGCCAATATCTCTGATGAACATAGATACAAAAAACCTCAACAAAACACTAGCTAACCAAATCCAACAACATAACAAAAAGATAATCCACCATGATCAAGATGGTTTCATACCAGGGATGCAGAGATAGTTTATCATCCACAAGTCAATAAATGTGATACACCACATAAACAGAATTAAAAATAAAAATCATATGATTAACTCAGTAGATGCAGAAAAAGCATTTGACAAAACCTACCCTCAGTTTATGATTAAAATCCTCAGCAAAATCAGTTTAGAAGTGACATACCTTAAGGTAATAAAAGCTATCTATAACAAACCCACAGCCAACATTATACTGAGTGGGGAAAAGTTGAAAGCATTCCCCCTGAGAACTGGAACAAGACAAGATTGCCTACTTTCACCACTCTTATTCAACATAGTACTGGAAGCCCTAGCCAGAGCAATCAAAAAAGAGAAAGAAATAAAGGGCATCCAAATTGTTAAAGAGAAAGTCAAACTGTCGCTGTTTGTTGATGACATGACTGTATGTCTAGAAAACCCTAAAGATGCCTGCAAAAAGCTCCTAGAACTGGTAAATAAATTCAGCAAAGTTTCAGGATAGAAAATTAACACACACAAATCAGTAGCTCTGCTATACACCAACAGTGACCAAGTTGAGAATCAAATCAAAAACTCAATTTCTTTTACAATAGCTGCAAAAAATAAAATACTTACAAATATACCTAACCAAGAAAGTAAAAGACCACTACAAAGAAAACTACAAAACACTGCTGAAATAAATCATAGATGACACAAACAAATGGAAACACCTCCCATGCTCATTCCCGGAAGTAGAAAAAAAATCCTAAAATTTATATGGAACCAAAAAAGAGCCCACATAGCCAAAGCAAGACTAAGCAAAAAGAACAAATCTAGAGGCATCACATTATCTGACTTCAAACTATATTAATAAGTCACAGTTACCAAAACAGCCTGGTACTGGTGTAAAAATAGGTACATGGACGAAAGGAACAGAATAGAGAACACAGAAATAAACCCAAATACTTATAACCAAAGATCTTAGACAAAGCAAACAAAAACATAAAGTGGGGAAAGGACATCCTATTCAACAAATAGTGCTGGGATAATTGGCAAGCCACATTGTAGAAGAATGAAACTGAATCCTCATCTCTCACCTTATACAAAAATCAACCCAAGATTGATCAAAGACTTAAATCTAAAACCTGAAACTATAAAAATTCTAGAATATAATATTGAAAAAACCCTTCTAGACATTGGCTTAGGTGAAGACTTCATGATAATGAAATAATGCAATAAAATAAAATAATGCAATAAAAACAAAGATAAACACATAGGACTTATTTAAACTAAAAAGCTTCTGCACAGAAAAAGAAATAATCAGCAGAGTAAACAAACAACCCACAGAGCGGGAGAAAATATTTGCAATCTATACTTCCAACAAAGGACTAATATCCAGAATCCACAAGGAACTCAAACAAATCAGCAAGAAAAAAACAAACAATTTCATCAAAAAGTGGGCTAAGGACATGAATAGACAATTCTCAAAAGAAGATATACAAATGGTCAAGAAGCATATGAAAAAAAAATGCTCAACATTACTAATTATCAGGGAAATGCAAATCAAAACCACAATGTTATACCACCTCACTCCTGCAAGAATGGCCATAATCAAAAAATAATAATGTTGGCATGTATGTGGTGAAAAGGGAACACCTTTACACTGCTGGTGTGAATGTAAACTGGTACAACCACTGTGGAAAACAGTATGGTGATTCCTTAAAGAACTAAAAGTATAACTACCATTTGATCCAGCAATCCCACTATAGGGTATCTACCCAGAAGAAAAGAAGTCATTATACAAAAAAGATACTTGCACATGCATGTTTAAAGCAGCACAGTTTGAAGTTGCAAAAATATGGAACCAGTCCAAATGCCCATCAATCAACAAGTGGATAAAGAAAGTTATATATACCACCCTAAGAAAGATACCACCCTAAAAAAGGGTAACACAGTTTCTTATAAACATAAACATGTACTTATCATTACATGTTTAGCCCTCTTGGGAATTTTAATTGTATTTTAAAACAAGTTTTTAAAAATGCACACGTAATTCATATTCATGGTAGAAATAGTAAAAATACAAATAAACATAAAGAAAATATCTCCCATAAAAAAAAGAAGTAATAGAAATGTTTCTGGAAAATCTCTATTCAGAAGGAGGTAGTAAAATACTAAGGAAAGCACATACAATTTTTAAAATTTTCCTATTCATTTTTGTTTGACCCAAGTTATTTATCTTGACCAGACTGTAAATTAACACCTTTATATCAAAATGTGTTGAATGACACACTAAAGTCATACTTAGAAATAGATTTATAGGATTAATCATCTATGGTAGAGAATTATCAATGACCTCAGCTTCTGCCTTAATATATTAGAAAAAGAAGATAAAAGTTAAACCCACAGAATGCAAAAAAAGAACAGAATAAATATCAGAATGAAAATCAATTACAAAGGCAACAAAAAAATAGAAAATCAATGAAATCAAAACTTTCTTTAGGAGATCAATAAAATTGATAAGGCAGAAAATATAAATTACCAGCAAGAATAACAGAGGTTACATCACTACAAGTTCTATAGATATTACAAGGATGATAATAAAATATTATGAACAAATTTATGGTGGTAAATTAAACAATTTAGATTAAATCAATAAACTCCCAGAAAGGCACAAACTACCAGAGAAAAAATAAGAGAAACAAGTAGTCTGAAGCTTCTATTAAAGAACTTGAAATTGTAGTTTGAAAAAAAAAAAAAAAACCTGTCTACAAAAGAAAACTCCAGGTCCAGATGGCTTTTCTGGTGAATTCTACTGAACATTTAAAGAATAAATACCAATTCTGCCAAGTCTCTTTCTCGAAATTTGAGAGAACGGAATACTTGTCTATTTATGAGGCCAACATTTCTCTGATAGCAAAACAAAGACATTAGAGAAAACAAATGCATACCAATCTACCTTATGAACATAGATGTAAAAATCCTAAACAAAATTTTATCAAATCAAACTCAACAATTTAAAAAAGTTTGACTATATTAAAATCAAGTGTAGTTTATCCAAGAAATATAAGTTTGGTTTATCATTTAGTATCAGTCAATGTAATCCACAATGTTAGAAAACTCAAAAGGAAAATCCATATAAACATCTGATTAGATATTTAAAATTTTGACAAAATTCAACATCATTTTATGCTTAAAAAAAACTCTCAGCAAAGTACAAATAAATGAAACTGAGAAAGAACATCAACTTAATGAAGGGCATCTACCTAAATTCTACTGCTCAATCATACTTAAAGATGAAAGACTTAATCTTTCCCCTGTAAGACGAGGAACAATTTACGGACTCCAATTTTCAAACTTTTATTCATTATTACACTAAAAATTCTAGCCAATGTGATAAGGCAAGAAAATAAAATTGGAAGGACTGGAAAGCAGGATATCAAATTGTTTTATTCACTAACAATATAATTAGGTAGAAAATCCACTGGAATAATTTTTAAAGCTACTACAAATAAGCAATTGTAGCCATACCACAGGATATAGGATCAATATCAAAAATCAATAGTATTTTATAAATTAGCAGCAAACAATTGGACATTAACATTTTAAAATCTTATTTACAATAGCATAAATATATGAATTAGAGATCTGAAAAAATGACAAAAATGTGCTGTACACTAAAAACTATGAAACATTGCTGAGAGAATTTAAAGAAGACCTAAAGCCTGGAGAAATATACTTTGTTCATGGGTCAGAAAATTCAATATTGTTAACATTCCTAGTAGTTATGACAAAATAAACGTAACAAAATATGTATGACTTATCTAATGAATACTACAAACTTCTGATGAATGCAATTAAAGGCAGCCTAATAATTAGAGAATCATACTATGTACATAGGTAGGATGAGTCAACATAGTAAAAATGCAAATTCTCATCAAAACAGTCCATTAGATTAAATGTAATGCCTATCAAATTTTCAGCAGGCTTGTAGGATTTGTCAAGCAATTTCTAAATTTCATGTGAAAATGCAAAGGATCTAAAATAGCCAGAATGATTGAAATAAGGAAAAAATATGTTATAAAGCTAACCCTATCTGATTTGGGGACTTATTATCAAGGTATAATAATAAGAGACTGTTGTAGTGGAGTTGAATTAAACAAGTAGACTAATGCAACAGAATAAATAGTCCAGAAATACACCCACGTAAATAGAAACAACTGTTTTTTGACTAAGGTACAAAGGCAATTCAGTGGAGAGAATATAAAACCTTTAAAAATTTTTTGAATAAGATCACAAGGTGGGGAGATTGAGACCATCCTGGCTAACATGGTGAAACCCTGTCTCTACTAAAAAAGTACAAAAAATTAGCTGGGCGTTGTGGCGGGTACCTGTAGTCCCAGCTATTCAGGAGGCTGAGGCAGGAGAATGGCGTGAACCTGGGAGGCGGAGCTTGCAATGAGCTGAGAAACTAATGGTAAGTTAAGCCTACATAGTAAAGTTTGTTACGTAGATGCCTCTGGTGCCATCTCCAGGCTAAGTGTATAAGGATCTAAAGTCTGTCTCCAGTGGTTAAGTATTGTCCTTCCTGGTAGACAGAGAAGGAGGGACACTTTGGAAAATTTAAATCCTGCTTTTAGGTAAGTGGATGAAAGCAGAGAACTTTCTTGTATCTTCTCAATTGTCTTCAACTCAAAATAATCCTTCTACCAAAGTGGTATATTTTGAAGAAACATATTCTGCTACCCTTCAAGATCTTGAGCAAAAGATACCATGTCACAAGGTTTGGCCAAATCATAAAATTTTAACAATTTACCCTTGAGGAATTTTTTGTCTCAGTAAGCCAAACATGAATTTTCATTATCTTGAGCAGGCTGTTGGATAGATATCACTTTAAAATAAATGAGATTTTCTTTGAAATGCATGCAAATAGGAAAAAAGAGTTGTGACACTTTGATTTTATTCTTAGTTGCAACAATAGCTGACAATAGAGGAGGGGAGTTATCTGCATAGAAATCTAGTTATGTTTTACATATAATGACAAGATGGCTTTGACTATTAGTGCAAAGAACAGGCTGGTCTGTGCTTGTTATAAGTACCCACAATGAAGAAAATTTAAAAAAACAAATGAAAGGAAACAATGGAGAATATTTTAGACTGCACCCACTGCTCCTCCATACAAAAATAAGGAATAGTCCAATGAAGGGCATGGGTTTTTATTGCTAGTTTGCTTTATTGTTTTATTTATTTTAGCCTAAATATTTATGTATTCCTTTTTTTTCTTGTTCTTGTTACTTTTCTTGCTCACTTAAAAAATTACCTTCTTTTTCTCAAAACTAAGTCATTAAGAACAAGGAAAGTCTGAGAAACCGTCACAGTCAAGAGATATGATCACTACATGTAATATAGTATCCCGGATAGGATCCTGAAATAGAAAAGGGACATAAGATAAAAACAGGAAATCAGAATAAACTACGGACTTTAATGAATACTAATGCTTCCACCTTGGTTCAGTAATTCTGACAAATGAGCTGTCTTATGAGTGTGAGATATTAATAAGAGCAGAAAATGGTGGTGAGGTATATGGGACTCTATATTGTCTTTCCAATTTTTCTGTAACTCTAAAAACACTCTATTTTTTTAAATATTCTTTCAAAACTTTTACTTTTTTTTTTTTCTTTAAGGCAAGTTCTCACTCTATTGCCCAGACTGGAGTGCAGTGGTGGAAGCATGTCTCACTGCAGCCTCAACTTCCCGGTATCAAGTGATCCTCCTCCTTCAGCCTACAGAGTAGCTGGAACCATAGGCACGCACCACCATATGTGGCTAATTTTAAAATGTTGGTAGAGATAAGGTCTCGCCATGTTGCCCAGGCTGGTCTTGAACTCCTGGGTTCAAGGTATCCTTCCACCTCAGCCTCCCAAAATGCTGAGATTGCAGGCATGAACCACCATGCTTGGCCCTAAAAATATTCTAAAATTAGAAGATTTCACTGCCAAATTTTCACTTTAGAATTTGCTTACTTAAATGGAATTACTGCTTTGCTTCAGTTTGTAGATTATTCACTAAAAGCAGTCTCAGGAAAACAGGACCTTCAACCGGTATGAAAGAAAATGCACAGACCAACAGCTTTGGGAATGGGCTGGCCAGCTTGATAAGGACAGGCTGAGGCCACCTGCAGAAGGGTGCCCCCCACATTGATAAAACAATGATTAACTGCATGCCTGAGACTGTACAAATTTCACACACAAAAAAATGTTTTAAGCATTATTTCCCATAATTTCCCTTAACAACCCGTGATCCAGAGGCACAACATGGAGAGGTGGTCTTCAAATACTCCTTCACTGCCTCTTCCAGTGGCTGGCTTCTTGAATAAAGCTGACTTTCCTTTCACCAAATCTCATCTCTTGGGTTTTTGGCTTTCAGGTGATGAATGGTCCGGACCTGATTTCGGTTACAATAGCTCCACTGAAACCATCCTTGTGAGGTGACTTCTTGGCCACTAAATCCAAGGACCCCCTTTCAGTCCTTGTCCTCTCAGCATATTGGCAGAATTATACCGTTCCCTTTTGCCTAAAACACGCCTTCACTTTGAGGTAGGAGGCAGGACTCAAATCCATTGGTGAGGCTCAGACAGCAGACCAAATTGAGGACTAGCAAAACAGGGACAGGATGAAAGCAGCTTTCCATAAAACACACTCACCGGTGTGCCATGTCAGTTTATCGTTGCCATGGCAACACCCAGATGTTACCGCTCCTTTCCATGACAACAACCTGACAACCCAGAAGTTGCCACCCTTTTCCTAGAAATGTCTGCATAATCTGCCCCTTAATTTGCATATAATTAAAAGTGGGTATTAATATAACTGCAGAGGTGCCTTGAAGCTTCCACTCTGGGCATACTGCCTGTGGGGTAGCCCTGACCCACTAGTGTCTCTGCTACTGCTGTACACTGCCACTTCAATAAAAGTTGCTTTTAGCACCACTGGTTCGCCCATACATTTTTTCCGGGGCAAAGCCAAAAACTCTCCCAGGCTAAGCCCCAATTTTTGGGCTCACCCGCCCTGCATCACTTTGCCTTCTACAAAAACAGACTCTTCTGAGTTTTCTTCACCCAAGTAGTAGTGACTTCCTTCTCAGTTACTTTGTTACTCCTTCTTCTTTTATGACCTTCAGCTTCAGAATTAGGACGCCTGAGGGCTAAACCCAAGAGTCTTTTCTTCTCAGTGATGTTCTTTCCTGAAGCAGCTCATGTAATTCCATTCTTCCAATAAATCCCTAATTTCTATTCAAGCTTAAGGTCTTGTTAGGCCCTTCCAGTACTGGCTGTCCAGTGAGTGCAACCTGGTCAGGCCCAGTGCGCAGAAGAATCCCGTGCATGCTTTGAGACATTGCGTTCAGTGTCTTGAAATTCCAACGAGACTCCCCACATTTTCATTTTGCACTTGGCCCCAGAAAATATGTAGTTGGCCCTGTCTTCACTTGGATATTTTTCCATGTGAATCAAGCTCCAAGGATGTACGAATGATTCTGTGGTCTTCCCAAAGTATGCCCCTTTGTTATTGCATGTCTCAGCAAGTGGAATACTATCAAACCTCTTACCAAGTTTGACACCAATGAGTCCTCCATGACATCAGCCACTTTCTTATCTTCAATATTCAGTTAATCACCAGGTATGATTTATCTGGACCTTCTAAGTACATAGTAAATCTGTCCACTTTTCTACTTCACCACTGTTAGACTCTCCTGCTGGAACTACTAAGATTGCTACTCTTTGGTTGTCTCCTGATAAACAAGCTTGGGTGCTTCTCTAATCCAAATTCAATTTTAATCTCATAGATACAGACATGCATCATTCTATTTTTTTATATCTGCAAAATGACCTACTGTATATTCATTTTGAATCTTTTAAATGTGTTGAATGAATCTGAGTCTTTACGCAATGCAGTGTATTTTAGTATAGACTGTTCACTATGTTCCAGGCATTTGAGAAGTAGTACAATAATTCTTGTCTAATTCATTGTGTTAAGTATACAGCAGGGAACCTAACAGACAAAAATCTATACCCTCATGAAGCTTATATTCTAGTGATTTATGCTTTTCCTTGAATAGTGCCCTTTCAGCGTATATTCTGTGATCGCTTATGTGACCCTGATTAACTCATAATTCCTTCTTCATACATATTGAGATTGTATTCATTGCTGTGTAAGAGTAAATTCTAAAGCATAAGCCATGAGTAGCTTTCTGTACATAGAATTTGAGACTCGATTTTATACTTACATTTTAGAACATCAGTTATCAAGGAAAAAGACTACTGTTCAAAAACAAATATTCATCTCCAGTTATTTCATTAGTCATTTTGATATGGCTTATTATCTGGCAGGAGAAGACAGCTTTATTCTCTTCAGAGGAAAGTTGGGGGGACTGAAATATGGACACGCCACCAAGTATGCCACCAGTTGTGTCAAATACACAGTGAATGCCATTTGTCACCATATTAAAATATTCTCATTAAGAAGTGATAAACTCTTGTTATAAATGTTAACATCTTCCACAGCAAGTAGCTTTGTACTTAGTAGTTTCCTAAAACTGTTTGATAGATAAACCTATTGATGAATGAACAATGTGAAGTGGATCAGGAGTTTCAAAAGTACACTTTTCAGTGCAAAATGGTCTATTGGGAATTAGTAAAATAATTCTTGTTTAAAAGAAACTCAGCTACTTCCATCTTATTTCTTATGTTGCTTGTTAGAGATCTTGTCTTCAGCCTTCTGACTAAATATAAATGCAGAATAAGGAATTTATTCTAACAAGTTCTCAAACACATTTCACTAAAGCTGTGATTCTTATAACAGCATGAAGATCCAAGAAAATGAAAATCAAGCCTGTGGCCTTTCAATATTATTTGCTTCCAGAATGATGGCTATTTATATTTAAAAGATTCTGTACTAGAGATAAATCAACATAGTCATATAAATCAACATATTCAGATAATCTTCCAAAAGGATAACTGAGGTCAAAGTTATGGAGCTTTGTAAACCACTGTGAGAAAAATTATCTGCAACTCAAAAACAGGAAAAGATTACTGATTATTCTGTCAGCACCAGGCTTATGCCTTTGATTAACTTTATGATGACAGGTATTTCATAATTCCATTGGAGCACAGGCTAATTTGTAGATTTTTCTGGTAAAGATGCAAATAACATCAGTATGGTGGAAGAGAGAGCCTCAAAATTATAGTCATTGTAATCATTTTTGTATCCAATTTAGTTATCTTATTTTGACATTCCTTTACTACTCTGCCTATAAATACCTAGCTTCCGAAATGTTTTTTAGGCTGGTTTTACCATCTAACTGGTTCATTAATATTAATGAGTTCAGTACAATCTTTGACATACATGCATATTATATTTGTATGAAAATCACATTTTCTAATTTTTTGAAAAATTATATTTTAATAATAGTTGGACTTTTTTACTCACTACCTTTTCTCTTTATTTTAATAGGTCTACAATTCCTTTAAAGGGGGCGCCAAATGGGTAGGAGGGCATAACTGAATGAATTTCGTACTCCAAGCCTAGTCTTTCGACTAACTTGCCACCAGATTTTTGTCTGTCAGGTTCCCTGCTGTATACCTAACACAATGAATTAGACAAGAATTATCCGACTACTACTCAAATTCCTGGAACATAGTGACTACTCTAAAAATTTATTTTAAAATGTAAAATGTGTATGTAACAATAAAGTAATTTAGAACCCCTCACCCATAAATGGTGTTGTACTAGTTGGTGTGTAAGTATGAATTCTAAATAGTAAGTTTTAAGTAGTCTTCCATAGGTACAATTTGAGACTCACTTCTTACTTAAATTTTAGAATATCCCAGTTGCAGAGAATAAACATAACCTTTCATTGTATTTATATATATACTTCAAGTTCTGGCATACATGTGCAGAATGTGCAGGTTTGTTACATAGGTATACATGTGCCATGGTGGTCTGCTGCACCCATCAACCTGTCATCTACATTAGGTATTTCTCCTAATGCTATCCCTCCCTTAGCCCCCAGCACCCTGACAGGCCCCAGTGTGTGATGTTCCCCTCCCTGTGTCCGTGTGTTCTCATTGTTCAACTCCCATTTATCAGTGAGAACATGCAGTGTTTGGTTTTCTGTTCCTGTGTTAGTTTGCTGAGAATGACGGTTTCCAGCTTCATCCATGTCCCTTCAAAGGACATGAACTCATCCTTTTTTATGGCTGCATAGTATTCCATGGTGTATATGTGCCACATTTTCTTTATCCAGTCTAACATTGATGGGCATTTGGGTTGGTTCCAAGTCTTTGCTATTGTAAATAATGCTGCAATAAACATACGTGTGCACGTGTCTTTAGAGTAGAATGATTTATAATCCTTTGGGTATATACCCAGTAATGGGATTGCTGGGTCAAATGGTATTTCTGGTCCTTTCATTGTATTTTAAAGCTTCACTTCCTCAGCACATACACTGAAACTGAAGCAATTAAAAAGTATATTGCCATGAGCCCTACACAAATGACTTGCATGTGTATGAATCAGTGTCTGTATATATTTTAAAGATGAGGTCTCACTGTGTTGCCCAGGCTGGTCTCCAACTCCTGGGCTCAAGTGATCCTCCTACCTTAGCCTCCCAAAGTGCTGGGATTACAGGCATGGGCAGTCACAACTGGCCTAGTCCATATTTTTATGCTACCTTTTCCACGAAGCTTACTACTAAGCACTAAACTCTGATCTTTTTTCTGTCTTGCCCAAATTCCTATTAAGGGGCTTGAGAAGTCACACCTTACAAACAGTAAAATCTCATCAGATAGGTTTTATTTAACCCTATATAATGTGACTTACTTTCCAATCTGACTGTGGCATAACATCACATGACAAAAAAGGAAATCAAGATATTTTACCCAAAATATGTTTCTTTACTATACTTTTGAAGTGGCCCTGAAAACTGTCTTTTGTGGGAGAAAATCGGTATCTGTAAAGAATATCTATTAACATAATTAGATCTTTTTCCTTCCAGGCCCTCCCAATCCTGAAGAGATTAACTGATCTGAAAGACTGGCACCTTTCAAAAGTCTAAATAGGAAACACTTGCCATATATTTTCTCTAAGCCCTCTCTGCCCTGACTACCTCCTTAAGATGTCCTGCCCTTCGAGGCCAAACCAATGTACACCTTACATGTACTGATTTATGTACTTGCCTGTAATTTCTGCCTCCTTAAAATGTATAAAAATCAAGCTGTAGCGCAAACACTTTGGGCCAATGATCTCAGGACCACTCCTCAGGCCATGGTCACTCATATCTGGCTCAGAATAAATCTTTATTTTATTTAATATATTTTTGATATTTGATTTTTTTGATATTTTGATTTTTGATATTGAATATTTGATAAATATTTATTTATCAAATATTTTACAGAGTTTGGCTCTTTTCATTGACACCCTGATTCCTCCAGCTTGAAGCAGTATCTTCCTCATTTAAAATTACAATTGTACTTTATCTCTTTACATGTTACATGATTTTGTATTTGCAAAGAATGAGTAGCATGTAACTTAAAATTGTAACTGTTTCATTCTTTGCCTAAGTCTATATCATTGAATACTGTATACATTACGCATTTTTATGTAGTTATCTATATTTAAATGTAGAGCGTTATAATATTATAATTTGTCTCACATAACAGATAACAACTTTCCATGCCTACACTCATGCTTTTAAAAGATTTTCTGGGAATTAATTTTAGGAATTTGCTATAACTTATTTAATTGACCATCTACTAATGAGCAGTTAGTTGTTTTTAGCTTCCTGCTACTTTAAACAGTGATGCACCGAATATCTTTATAACTTTGCATATGTTCAAAGTATTCTGTAGGATAATTTCCCAGAAGTAAAATTGTTGAGTCAATTTGAGAAGTTGATAGCTTTCTTTGTTTCTGGTGCATCAATGATAGGGCTTGGCTGCCACAGCCCTGGATTTATCTTACTTCTTCATTCGTTGAACGGAATATGTAAATTCCCTGAGCTCAGCTTCCACATTCTGAGGAGAGGAGATCTGAGCATGGATCAAACGTTTACTCCTATCTATTCAATTATAAATAGGAAGCAGTGAGACTGTGCAGTTCTACCGTGGCTGCATTTCTCAGAGAGGGGGAGCTATCTATTTGTCTCTCTATATAAATTCATATAAACTCTAGGAAATATAAACCAATGTCCACAGTGGCTATCTTTCTGGGACATAATATATATAATTTACTCTTATACTCATTATAAAAAATATTTGTATTTGAATCAAAACAAAACTAAAATAAATTCAATTTTGGGGGTCTCCTTTGTTATACGAGATAAAATCTGAACTGCGTGGATGTCATGAAATGCCGGTCACTATCTGGCTCCAACCTTTGTGGCCAGACTCTGCTCTGTCATCTTTTCCAATAAATTCCAGCCCTCAACCACACAGGAAACCACAGAACCCTCATGGTTTCCTGAGCTCATCATGGACTTTCATACCTCTGTAACTTTGATTATGTTGTTCTCTTGACCTAAAAACATTTCTCACCATCCTTCACTTGAAAAAAATCAAATCAAATCAACATGAAAATCAAAGCCAAACTAAAATGCTGTCTTCTTTGTGAAGTTATTTTCTGTTTTCACCTAAAAAATCTAGCACAGCTTAAAGGTTAATTGTGTATTTCTTTTCAACTATATAACTTCAAGAGTAAAGATGCTGTATTCCTTCATATTCTCTAGTATTAAAATAACAAATAATAACAATGATAATAATAACAAATGAATGAGTGAATGAATGTGAAGCATGCCATGCGCTTTTTCACTAAGGATTGGCTACCAACTTAGTTTCCCATAGCGGGGGTTCCCAACCCCTGATACCGGTCAGAGGCCTGTTAAGAATCAGGCTGCACAGCAGAAACTGAGCAGCAGGCAAGCAAGCATTACCACCTGAGCACCACCTCCTGCCAGATCAGCGGAGGCATTCGAGTCTCATAGGAGCGTGAAACCTACTGTGAATTGTGCATGCCAGGGATCTGGTTTGTGTGATCCTTATGAGACTCTAACGCCTGATGATCTGAGTTGGAACAATTTCATCCCAAAACCATTCCCCACTCATCCATGGAAAAATCATTTTCCACGAAACCGGTCCCTGGTGCCAAAAAGTTGGGTACTGCTGTCCTACAGCCGATTAGTAGATTATGATTTTGCAATGCATACAGTCACAGTCACAAGCTTTCTTCTTCTCCTTTCAGGGTTGCATCCTTGCTTCATTTTTCACAAGTTTCTACCAAACAAGTCTGTTCACTGGTAGCACTCTCATTCCTTTATGAAGATCCTGTTTCTCCAAGGTCTTACACCATTTCTCAATTCTCTCCATCCCAGGAGCTTCCCTTCTCTGTAGTACATCCTTTCCCACACACTATCTGCCCGATTGTGGAATGTGCAGTATTCTGGACATAAAAGATCTTCACATCCTGGTGCTATGAAGCTATAAGAGCAGACTCAAGCAGTAGTTTCCTTCCATCCAATTTCCTGGTAGCATAAGTCTAAGTTTGTTAAACTTTCTTCTGTGTAAGAGCAATAATTCTCAATGACCAAGAAAGATGGAGAAAGGCTATGGGATGGTCTTCTTCAAGGGAAGACGTCTGAATATTTTCAAACCTATGCATTCCCTGCCAGATTTACCTCTTATTCTGACATGTCTCTACATCTTTATTTACCCCTTTCCCTGGGGAAGAAGTAGTCCTTAACAACTATTAGAAGATTAATATGAGAGAAGGTTCAGACATACACAGTCTTTGGGAAAAGAGTAAGTGATCCTTTAGGATAATGGAAGAAAAAAATGACAAGTGAATCAAAATTGTATATGGGTACTCATTAGGCACAGAAAGATTGAGATCAAACTCTGCAGATTTTTTTATGTAATTGAATTACAGTTAGAGAATATTTAAGGTGAGTTACAAATAATATTAGGGTAAAAGGTGAGGCAATAGTGAGGAATACGGAAAACACTAAGAAGCCCAGCTTTCTCAAGAAAATACCTGCTATTTAGTAGGACCTTCATATTCATTATGTCTTTTTGTCACAACTAGCAAGGTTGATATTATTTTCACTGTACAGAAAAATGAACTGAACATGAGGGAGGGGAAGACTTCAGACCAAGGTCACACAGAAATGGAAAGCAGAGCTGCGATGCAAGCCCAGGTCCATTTCTGCTTTTTCTTTTTCCCCCTGCGTTTTCCACAGCACCAGTGAACCTCATGCTCAGGTTTACAATGCTCCTAATTTTCAGACATGGTGTTGAGAGCCGGGGTCACAGACATAATACGAAAAGGAAGAGAAGTTGTGTATTTAGATTGTGCTGCTAACAATGTTGACTCACATATTTTGGTGTGGATGAGTAGTTAATTAGTCCAAACTGATTTGTGACAGGGGAAATACTGAAGTCATATGACTAATATTTAAGGCAATGAACACAGGCATCTCTGATTATTTCCAGTGCTGACTCAATGTTTCATATGCATAACCACTGATGATTTATTTGGCTTACTACTTGGCTTACCTTAAAGTGTTACAAAGGTGATTGCCAGTGATTCTTCCTATGCACTAGTAACTAAACAGTGACTGAATTTTGCCCTGGGCCAGGGACTGTGTTAAACATTTTCATGGGTTATCTCATGTGATGCTCATGAAAGATTTAAGAGTTAGGTAATATTATTATCCTTACTATATTTATTGTACAAACGAGGCTCAGTGGCTAAGTAACTTGCCCAAGACTACAGATAAAATGATATTGAAGGCATACTATTGATTCTCAAAGCCATCAGGTTAAATCATGTGCTTAGCATTTCAACCATTAGAATGATGTTATCTCACTTGGAAAAAAAAAGTCATTTATAAAACAAATACATTAAAACCACCATTCTGTGAGCAAAATTAGAGAATAATGAAGAATAGTTAGGTCAGTGAAAATTATATGCTTAGAAGATTGGTGTTGGTGGAATTTTTAAATTTTACACTGCAAAAGCCATCCTTTAATCTAAGAGTGGTAGAAACTTGTATTTGAGATTTTCATACAAAACCGAATCGTGTATGAAAATAGTGTAACTTATAAACAGTATATAAGTGCTGGTCAGAAAGAGTGCACGGTCTCTCGGTGTGATTGGGTCATTTTTACTGTTCCCATCAGAGACAGTGTGTATCCATGACAACAGGTGCTACAAGTGCATTGCATTGTTATAAACTCTCCGGGCTTACAGATTTTATTCATCCAGGTTAAAAATATATATATTCTTTCTCTTGTTTAGACAAATAAACATTAGCCTTTACATTAGCATGAAAAGTGTTCAAAATGTGAAGTTTGTTTTGGGTTTGTTTTATACGTAAGAAAAAAACATATTTAAATTTTTAAATTTTTTTTACTATGTGTTTTTCCTTTGTATTAAAATTTACCTCTCCTTACCACAAATTTTCTTTTGTTTCATTAATTTCAGGCATGCATGATTGTGTTTGTCTCTTGAAATATTAATGTAGATTCAATATCTGACATTGGCTTTTTTTTTTCTTGGTTTCTTGAGTAGAATCAAAGTAGAACCACAAAAATGTAATTTAAGTGCTACTGCCATTTAGCCTTAGGACTCACAGACCCCAAATCAGAATATTTTTTCAATTTTAATAGTTTTGTTTTGAAAAATCACATTTCTCAAATAATAATATTTAGTTACTGAAAAATGGCATACATCATGATGCCAGTAACATACTGATTTCTCCTTTAGATGTCATCCATTTATGAGCAAATAGGGCCACGTAATGACACTGGAGCCCTAGAATGGGCTGGTTTCCTCCCCGACACTTTGTCAGAGGAAAATCTCATCAGTGGTTTTCTTCTAGAGAATCCTATGATGTCAAAGTCCCACTTGCAACACCTCCAGATATTCTTGTATTGTGCTAACTCCCCAGCTCATTGATCTCTACCTTTATTTTTCTGTCTAAAGGTCTGAGATAGGGAGGAGTGTTGGGGAAGACTGGAGAGAGAGAAAGGCAAAAGCGTGTCTTTCTATCCATGTAATTAATTTTTCTACGCGAGGGCAAAACAGCATTTCAGTTTTTTTTTCTGTAAAGCTATAACTTGTACAGTTCTATAAGGAGTTTGCTTCCCATTTTATATATATTTTAGTTTCTTATGATAGAAAATGACTTAATATCACTTTGACTATGGCTTTTTAAATAAGGATTTCAGAGGAAGGAATAAAGACAGTGAGGGTGGAAGGCAGGGAGAGAAAAGTAGCCTAATAAAAAGAGAATACAAACTGTGGAGACGTAATAAGGCTTTCCTGCACTCATGCTGTGTCAAACTCATCCCAAATCAGGGAAAGAGGAAGGGTTCTACAATTTAGCAGGAACAGGAAGGCCAGGAAAAGATAGTAGCCACAGGTCAGTTTCCCTAGTTACCTTGTTGCGACCATAGATCTAACACCTCAGAGAATGTGGGACTCTGGGTGACTGTTGTACAGCAAGCAATTTCCGCAGCCACTTTAAGGAGGCCAGCAGCGAGGAGAAAATCCCCAACATGACAAAGGCCTTCTGTTCTATCAATTATTTTTTTCTATCAATTTGTAGTGATTCCTTTTCTATTTGACAATGGCTGTAGATACGCTGTTTGTAAGTATGGTTGATGGGTAGGAAAATTATGAATTAGAAAATAGTTGTATCAGTTAATGAAACACAGATCAACTAAACATCTTGGACCAAACTGGAGATGGAAATAAAATCCCGTCCGGGGAGGTGAAGGGCACAGCAGGGCATGGGGGTGGAAATTCTTCCATACAAAGTAAAAATCCATTGCCAAAACTCAAAGGTGCCCAGTGCAGAGGGGATGGGCAGGGACACTCCTTGGAGAGATGGAAGAGCACCAGAAGCCTCATCCTGTGTGAGGGTTTGACAGGTGGGACTGGGAGCCCGAGTTGTAGTTCGGTTTGGGTGTGTATCTCTACCCAGTCTCCAGTGGGCACTGTGAGGACCAGAGCAGCACAGCCACCACACTGCTAACTATAAGCTCATGCCACTCATTTTATGGGATTCTGACCACTTTGCACTTTTCCACAATCTAAGGAGGCCTTAGTAGACTTAAAGAGCTGAACGCTTTACTCTGTACCAGAACCTTGTGAGTTAGCCACCACTGTCCACATTTCATGAGAAAAGAAACTAGAGGCTGGATGCAGTGGCTCACACCTGCAATCCCACCACTTTGGGAGGCTGAGGCGGGCAGATCACTTGAGGTCAGGAGTTCGAGACTAGCCTTGCCAACATGGTGAAACCCCGTTTCTACTAAAAATACAAAAAAAAAAAAAAAAAAAAAACATTAGCTGGGTGTAGTGGCACATGCCTGTAATCCCAGTCACTCGGGAGACTGAGGCAGGAGAATTGCTTGAACCTGGGAGGCAGAGGTTGCAGTAGGGCTCCAGAGAAGTTCAGCATGACCCCAAGATTGATACATTTCTACAGTACACACTTTGCCTGCACTGCAAAATTCCCAAGCAATTATTTTGGTGTTTATAAAGCTGGAGGCAGAGACACTTTGATGCTTTCTTTTCTTAAAAAATAACTCCTGGCCGGGCGCGGTGGCTCACGCCTGTAATCCCAGCACTTTGGGAGGCCGAGGCGGGCGGATCACGAGGTCAGGAGATCGAGACCATCCTGGCTAACACGGTGAAACCCCGTCTCTACTAAAAATACAAAAAATTAGCCGGGCGTGGTAGCGGGCGCCTGTAGTCCCAGCTACTCGGGAGGCTGAGGCAGGAGAATGGCGTGAACCCGGGAGGCGGAGCTTGCAGTGAGCCGAGATCGCGCCGCTGCACTCCAGCCTGGGCGACAGAGCGAGACTCCGTCTCAAAAAAAAAAAAAATAACTCCTTTTTAATTAAAAAAAAGCATTCTGTGAACACATTTATTCACTTTTTTTTATTTAAAATACCTAGGTAGTCCTGATTTATTTTAAAAGAAAGAAAAAAAAAAGCTGCCTGTCCTGTAACACACAAATTTCTTCACTGTAGCTGTTCGTGTAGCTAAGTAGAAACATACATAACAAAAGTTGAAAATTCATCCCTGACGCAAGATAATGTTAACTGTCCAGTAGAAATAAGATAAAATGTTGCATAAATAAAATCATGCATGCTAACTTGACATAATAGCCTTTTTTTATATTGAATGACGTGTGCAAACAAATGCATCATAAATGAAATTGCAGCAAATACTGGGGCATGAGAAGATCTCATCAGTAGTTAAGAAGTATTCTAACACTAGGTAACTGTGTCCAGGTTGCTCAAAATGTGGTGACACGAAACAATGATATAAACTGTGAAGAAAATAGATGTTGTTGAAATAAGAAAGAATAGCCAAGAAATGCCAAAGACTTGAACTTTGTACTAAGCTGTTACTTACCTGTTAATTTCAGCAGTAGATTGTTAGTTCATGAGAGTCGGGAATGAAATAATTTACTTTTTATTTTGTGCCCCCTCCCCTCACCTTTACCCCAAGCATAGCGACCTACATGAAAGATACACAATAAATGCTCAGTGAATAATTAATTGATTGATGTGGACTGTTTGAGATTTATCAACCTAAAATGAAAGCCTCTGTCAGACTTCCATTGTCCACATAAATGCCCAGAGATGAAGGATGGTTATCAGGTAGAAAACGAACCATGTAAAATACCCAGGAAGTATTTGAACTTTTAGGACATCTTCAGTATAAGAGAATATAAAGGAATAGTGATATAAGAATATACAGGTTTGCAAAAGGCAATTAGAACAAGAAGTTTTCATATCATCAAGTATCATTTAAACTATTCTGAACAGTACAAATTTTAGGAGAAAGATCTCAGTCAAGGTTAGAATGGAGTAAAGTGGTTAGCAGCATTTTTTTTTTTACTTTTTTAACCAAGTAAGAGAAAAAGAATTATAATTTTTCCATGCAGCATTTTTTCTAAAGCTAGAAAGTAGTTTTAGTTTCTATAGGATTTGTCACAGTCCCTTGTAAAGTCAGAGCTGTTAACTGGGCAAATTCTTGGTGGCCTCAGGGTCTTTCTCAAACAGGGATGTGAATCCTCCATCTTTAGATGGCATTAGCTTTCAGCTAAGCCTCTATTTCAGAGGGCATGGTTTTCCCACCGCTGTGAGGAACACAGAAAGAACACGTAGAAAGAAAATCCACTGAGGCCATTGTGTAGCTTGCTGCCCTCCTGCATTTCCTTAATCTGCTGGAAATTTCATTTTCTGATGCTTTTCTTTTCAATAGGAGAAAGAAAAGCCAGCTTTGGGGGGAGGGGATGGGGGAGTGGGGAAAGTACCCACTAGTTATCTAACTTTCCATACTTTTTCCAGTTTTTGAGGTTTTGAAGTCGTCAGTGGCTGATAAGCAAGCACTGTGTTCCCTATCTGTAGATTTTAGGAATCCTGACTATTTAAAAGGGCTCAACTGTTCTTTGGCCTGTAGCCTCACAGAGCAGTCTATCTATCCAATATAACACATTTTTTTACAACCATAGGGGGAGTATTGGGCTCCTCTTTTGTGGAAGTGACAATTGCTTTTCACTGAGTGCCGCTAGCATCAGGTGCTTAGACATAGAAATGCCTAACTATAATTTTCACAAAGAAGGAGAAGGAAGATATGAAGAGGGAAATTCCAGTTCTTGCCACCAATTCTATGACAGGTGACAATCCACTCCTGTGAGAATCTGGCAGTTTGGGGGTGGCTGTTGGCAGGAAGAAAGAGATAAATAAGGTAACATATACAATTCCTATCTTGCAGAAATTTTTCCCCAGCCTAATGAAAATAACAATAGCAATACCAATTACTGGTAAGCATCTTGGAACAATGAGCCAAAATAATGCCTTCATTAATACCTAAGCTTTGTCACTGTCAGAAAGCCAGGTTCTCAGTTCCACAATTCTAAGGGGTTGTGAGAGTGGAGGCATCCAAATAGGTGCTGGATATTATGCTGGAGAAGGCAACTGGGCATGCTAATGTATGACTTTTACTAGTCTGAGCCACGGACAGGCAGCACAGTCATTAACTAAGTACATGTGAGATACACAAAATCCCAGCCTTGCCCACCCCCGTCCCCATGTATTATTGAATTGTCAGAGGTGTTTGAACTCCAGTGACTCCATCTTGAATAGGGGGTGGATAAAATAAGACTGAGACCTACAGGGCTGCATTACCAGGAGGTTAGTCATTTGTCTTAGTCAGAGTTCTCTAGAGGGACATAACTAATGAAATATATGTGTATATGTATGTGTGTGTATATATATATACACACATATATATACACACACATACATATACACATATACATATACACATATATATATAAAGGGGAGTATATATATACACATATATATATAAAGGGGAGTTTATACACACACATACATATACACATATACATATACACATATATATATAAAGGGGAGTATATATATATACATATATATATAAAGGGGAGTTTATACACATAAAGGGGAGTTTATACACACACATACATATACACATATACATATACACGTATATATATAAAGGGGAGTATATATATATACATATATATATATAAAGGGGAGTTTATTAAGTATTAACTCACATGATCACAAGGTCCCACAATAGGCTGTCTGCAGCCTGAGGAACAAGGAGAGCCAGTCTGAGTTCCAAAACTGAGGAACTTAGAGTCTGATGTTCGAGGGCAGGAAGCATCCAGCAGAAGAGAAAGATGTAGGCTTGGAGGCTAGGCCTGTCTCTCTTTTCACATTTTTCTGCCTGCTTATATTCTAGCTGCACTGGCAGCTGATTACATTGTGTCTACCCAGATTAAGGGTGGGTCTGCCTTTCCCAGCCCACTAACTCAAATGTTAATCTCCTTTGGCAACACCCTCACAGACAAACCCAGGATCAATACTTTGCATCCTTCAATCCAATCAAGTTGCCATTCAGTTTTATCCATCAAAAGTCCACCCCTTGTCAACTTGAACCCATACACATCTCCTGAGATCATAATCTTCAAATAAAGAGAATAATAAGGTTATAATTGCACCTAACATAGTACAACTATCCTTCATATAACCGGAAATGCACCAATCCCCAACCCAAATACTATTACGTAAAGTTAACAATACTTAAATGCTGATGTGAAGTCAATAAATGTATGTCAAATGATAAAGAAGAAAGGAAATAAAAAGAAGATATTTTCTTAGTACAAGTGTATACATGCACAAACACGTTTTGAACCAAAGGAGAAAATATTCATGACAATTGCAGTCCTCATTTCTGCACCTGGTCACGAGGTCATAGCTGGTATTGATGACTACCTTCTTCTACTACGCATTCTGTATTCCCTTTGCTGTCAGCAAGCACCTCAGCAGGTCATGGTTTTTTTTCCTGGTGGAGTGACCCAAACCTTCATTCCTGAAGGGTCTGGACCATTTGTAGTCCTCCCTGGATTGGGCTGTTGTAGTTTCCCATTGACCTTAATCACAGCACATGGTAATACTAAGAGATGCCCTAATAGATCTCCTGTATTCCATACATGCTCTTCCTTACCTCCATTGTGGAGTAGTAGACTGATTTCATCTTGATAGTCTGGGTCAATCACCCCAGACAACACTGTTACCCTCTACTTAGCCTTAAGTCTGACTTAAAGGTTGGAGGAGCCCAAAGTGTCCAGGTGGCAATCTTAACTTCCAGTTTAATGGAATCATTGTTGTGTCTCCTGGTGGCAGCTTTCCTCCCTCCAGAACTAAGACCTCTAGGCCAGCAGACTGTAATGTTGTGGGAAAAGGAAGCAAACATTTTGCTAGTGGTCACTAGGGGTGATGGTGAGTGGAGCCGTTTCCACCCCTTTGTTCCTGGACCCCTGATTTTTGACTATTGGAGAAACAGTACCAAATATTGGACACTGATTCAGAGCATCCAAGGCCTTCTGGAGAAACTTGCCCCAGCCCTGCAAAGTATCGTCACCTAGTTAGCAGTGTAATTGTGATTTCGAAAGGCCATTCCACCGTTCTATCAATCCAGCTGCTTCAGTATGATGGGAAACATGGTAAGACCAGTGAATTCCCTAAGCATGAGACCACTGACGCACTTCTTTAGCCATAAAGTGAGTGCCTTGGTCAGAGGCAATGTTGTGTGGAATATCATGATGGTGGATAAGGCATTCCATGAGTTCACAGATGGTAGTCTTGGCAGAAGCATTCCATGCAGGATAGGGAAACCCATATCCGGAGTAAGCGTTTATTCCAGTAGGGACAAACCTCTTCCATTTCCTTGATGGAAGAGATCCAATACAATCAATCTGCCACCAGGTAGCTGGCTGATCACCCCAAGGAATGGTGCCATATTGAAGGCTCAACATTGGTCTCTGCTGCTGGCAAACTGGGCACTCAGCAGTGCCCATATCCAAGTCAGCCTTGGTGAGTGGAAGTCCATGTTGCTGAGCCCATACATAACTTCCATCCCTGCCACCACAGCCACTCTGTTCATGGGCCCACTGGGTGATGACAGGGGTGGCCTGGGAACAGGTCATCCTATCCACTTGATTATTAAGATCCTCCTCTGCTGAGGTCACCTGTTAGTGAGCACTCACATGAAACACAAATATCTTCACAGTTTTTGACCACTCAGAGAGGTCCATCCACATACCCGTTCCCCATATTTCTTTGTCACCAATTTTCCAATCATGCTTCTTCCAAGCCCCTGACCATCTAGCCAAACCTTGGCTACAACCCATGAATTAGTATATAATTGCACATCTGGACATTTCTCCTTCCGTGGAAAGGGCACAACCAGGTGCACTACTCAAAGTTCTGCCCACTGGGAAGATTTCCCTTCACTGCTGTCCTTCTTCAGGGATGTCCTGGAAAGGGGCTGTAGTGCTGCAGCTGTCCACTTTTGTGTGGTGCCTGCATGTCATGCAGAAGCATCTGTGAACCAGGCCCTAGTCTTCTCTTCCTCTGTCAACTGATCATAGGGAATTCCCCATGAGGCCATCACTGCAGGCTGGAGGAGAGAAGGCAGGAGTGGAGACCATGGGCATTTCAGCCACTTCCTCATGTAAGTTATTCCATGTAAGTTACTCATGCCTTCAGAACCTGCTCGAGCCTGATCATGTATATACCACTTCCATTTGATAATGGAATGCTGCTGTGCACAACCCACTTTATGGCTAGATGGATCAGAAAGCACCCAGTTCATGATAGGCAGTTCAGGTCGCATGGTGACTTGGTGACTCATAGTCAAACGTTCAGTTTCCACCAAAGCCCAGTGTAACAGCCTAAGAGCTGTCTCCCAAAAGGAGAATGGTTATCTGTAGAAGATGGCAGGGCCTTGCTCCAAAATCCTAGAGGCCTCCCGTGATTCACCTATGGGAGGCTGCCAAAAGCTCCAAACAGCATCCCTATCTGCCACTGACACTTCAAGCACCATTGGATCTGCTGGGTCATATGTCCCAAGTGGCAGAGCAGCTTGCAGAGCAACATGGACCTGTTGCAGATCCTTCTCCTTTTCTGGACCCCACTCAAAACTGGCAGCCTTTGGGTCACTCGATAAATGGGCCAGAGTAATACACCCAAATGAGGAATACACGTGTTGCCTCCAAAATCCAAATAGGCCCACTAGGCATTGCGCCTCTTTCTTGGTTGTAGGAAGGGCCAAATACAGCAACTTATCCTTTACCTTAGAAGGAGTATTTCAACAGGTCCCACAACACTGGACCCCCAGAAATTTTACAGAAGTAGAAGGTCCCTGAATTTTAGCCAGATTTATTTCCCATTCTGTGGCACGCAAATATCTCACCAATAAGTTCAGTGTGTTTTGCTACTTCTTGCTCACTGGATCCAATCAGCATAATGTCATCAGTGTAATGGACCAGTGTGATATCTTGTGGAAGCGAAAAGCGATCAAGTTCTCTCTGAATAAGATTATGACACAAAGCTGGAGAGTTGATATACCCCTGAGGTAGGACAATAAAGATACATTGCTGGCCTTGCTAGTGGAAGGCAAATTGCTTCTGCTGGGCCTTATGGACAGCAATGGAGGAAAAGGCATTTGCCAAGTCAATGGCTGCATACCAGGTACCAGAAGATGTGTTAATTTGCTCAAGCAATGAAACCACATCTGGTACAGCAGCTGGATTTGGAGTCACCACTTGGTTAAGCTTACGATAGTCCAGTGTCATTCTCCAAGATCCATCTGTCTTCTGCACAGGGCAAATGGGGGAGTTGAATGGGGATGTGGTGGGAATCACCACCCCTGCATCTTTCAAGTCCTTTTTGGTGGCACTAATCGCTGCAGTCCCTCCAGGGATGTGACATTGTTTTTGATTTACCATTTTTCTAGGTAGAGGCACTCTAATGGCTTCCATTTGGCCTTTCCTACCATAATAGCCCTCACCCTACCAATCAGGGAGCCAATGTAAGTGTTCTGCCAGCTGCTATGTATGTCTATGCCAATTATGCACTCTGGCTCTGGGGAAATGACCACAGAATGAGTCCAGGGACCCACTGGACGCACTGCAAATCTGACTTAAGCTAAACCTTCATTAATTACCTGACCTCCATAAGCCCCTACTTTAGCTGGAGGACCACAATGACGTTTTGGGTCCCCAGAAATCAACGTCAGCTCAGAGCAAGTGTCCAGTAGTCCCTCAAATGTCTGATTATTTCCCTTTCCCCAGTGCACAGTTACCCTGGCAAAAGGCTGGAGGTCTCCCTGGGGAAGGATGGGAGAAAGATTCACTATATAAATTGTTGGTAGTGTAGTGGGATCCTTCCTCAAGGGGACCCAGCCTCCCCTTCATTCAAAGGGTTCTGGGTCTGTAAACTGGTTCAAGTCTGGAAATTGATTGAGGGGCCATAATTCTCTGTGTTTATAATTCAAATTAGTTTTCTGTCCATTCAACCTGAAGTTTTCTGCTTGTATAAATTAAGTAAGAATGCAGTAGGCTTCCTATCAATTTCACTTCTAGAAATACCATGATTAATTAGCCAATGCCAGAGCTCTACATGTCAGACTATTTTGACTGCCGCTTTACTTCTGCTGTCCATTACGGTAACTACACTCACTCTGCCTGTGATGTTTGGATGCTGCCACTTGGCCCCTGCAACCTCGAGATCCAATTATTCCCATTGTATTTAAATTTTGTAGTTGAGTGACTGCAGTTTCCACTGTTAAATCTGACATACAGAGAAGAGCAATTACAGGTCTCTTCAAAGATGCAGGTGCTGCCCTCACAAGTCTATTTCAAAAGGCATTAGTCAAGAGTATATCTTCTGGACTAATCTACTCCACCATCTCAATCTCCCTAAGCCTTTGGTCCCTTCCTCTACATTAAACAGGGAGATTGGACATTTCTGGCTTGCTCACAGTGGACCAGCTTTTAATCCATATTTCAGCTAACCAAGCAAATAAAGTAATTGAATCTTTTTTAACTCCCCAAGCTGCAACATTAAATGCAGACTCCCTCCTTAGTGGGCCCAAATCAATAAATTCAGCCTGATCCAACTCTATATTCCTTCCACCATTATCCCACTCCCTTAATATCCATTCCCATGCCTGTTCTCCAGATTTCTGTTTATATAAATTAGAAAACTCAAGCAGTTCCTTTCGATTGTAGTGCTCCTCCTCATGGGTCACACTCTCAACCTCATCTCTGGGGGCCCACCAAGACTTTAGTCTAGTTATAGGCCTAGAAGCAAACAGGGGTGTTGGAGGTGGCTTCTGAGGAGAATCAACATTATCTGGCCTGGCAACTGCCTCAGGGAAGGCCATCACTGTTGCCTCAGGCAGCGCAGGGTTTATCTCCTCAAATGTGGAAAGGCTGAGGGCAGCATGGGTTGGGGAGAGGATGTTGCTACTACCGGGGATCGGGAAGCTGTTTCTTCTGGCAAAAAAGGTTAATCAGACCTTACAAACTCAGTGTCCCCAGCTTCATCATAGTTTTCCCACATGCCCCCATTCCAAGTTGCAGGGTCCCTTTCTTTTCCAATCAATGCCCTCACTTTAACAGTAGACACCTGGTGAGGCTGTGCATGCACCTTTCATTGCAGGTCAGCCACCCACATGATAAGAGCTTATGTATGTTTTCCCAAAACTTCAGCTCTTTCTCTACAGGATATAAGACTCTCACTCAGGGCAATCTTAGCAGATTTGAGGCTCACTATCTGCTTCTGAAGCTGGGAGATAGAATTCATCATTTTCTTTCATCACTTTGTCTGCTGAACTTAGGAGCAACCAACCAGCTTCATTATGTTCCTTGGTTCTCCACACATGATCAAAGGTATTATATATAGAGTCACTAAACTCCTTGCCTCTCAGGAGTGATGAATCAGAAGTGTCAAATGCATTTATTTTGCATAACTCTCTGAACAGTTCATGCCAAGGACTATTAGTGTTCTCCATACCATTAGAAAGAGAGTCCTTTGCAATTTTTGTCTAATCATATTAAGCAGCCAACTCCAGAAACCTCAAAACCACTGAAAAAAATCCATTCTTAATATTCTGTTCCTCTAGAACCACTCCTGGTACCAAAATCTGTATTAGTCAGGGTTCTCTAGAGGAACATAAATAACGGAATATATATATATTCCTTTATACATACATACATATATATGTGTGTGTGTGTATATATATATATATTTATATATGGGAGTTTATTAAGTATTAACTCACATGATCACAAGGTCCCACAGTAGGCTGTCTGCAGGCTGAGGAACAAAGAGAGCCAGTCCAAGTTCTGAAACTGAAGAACTTGGAGTCCAATGTTCAAGGGAAGGAAGCATCCAGCACAGGAGAACGTTGCAGGCTGGGAGGCTAGGTCAGTCTCTCTTTCATACTTTTCTGCCTGCTTATATTCTAGCCACACTGGCAACTGATTAGATTGTGCCCACCCAGATTAAGGGTGGGTCTGCCTCTCCCAGTCCACTGACTCAAATATTAATCTCCTTTGGAAACACCCTCACAGACACACCCAGGATCAATACTTTGTATCCTTCAATCCAATCAAGTTGATGTTTAGTATTAACCATCACAGCATTCCAAGTCACAGGATGAAATAGGAGGTCAGCACAAGATGCAGGTCACAAAGACCTTGCTGATAAAAGGATGCAGTAAAGAAGCCAGCCAAAATCCACCAAAACCAAGATGGCAATGAAAGCGATCCCTGATGGTCACCCTCACTGCCCATATGTTAATTACAATACATTCGCATGCTAAAAGATACTCCCCACCAGAGCCATGACAATTTACAGATGCCATGGCAACATCAGAGAGTTACCCTATATGATCTGAAAGAGGAGGAACCTTCATTTCTGAGAATTGCCCAACCCTTTCCCAGAAAACTCATGAATAATCCACCCCTTGTTTGCATCTAATCAAGAAATAACCATAAAAATAGCCAACCAGCAGGCCTTGGAGCTGCTCTGCCTATGGAGTAGCCATGCTTTATTCCTTTATTTTCCTAATAGACTTGTTTTCACTTTACTCTATGGATTCACCTCGAATTCTTTCTTTTATGAGATCCAAGAACCCTCTTTTGGGGTCTGGATTGTGACCCTTTTCCAGTAGCAGAATCATAATGTGCATTTTAACAAACATAATTTTCATGTGGAAAAAAACTGAGTTTCAATAAGAATTTACTGCAAAGTTTGGAATAATCTGTATTTTTTTAGTGTATGTTAAGACTTACAGAGCTATGAACAAGATACTTGAGGATAAAATGTCCCTATGGGTAAGGTGGTTAAAACTGAAAAGAAGTTAAACCAATTTAGTTTACGTAGAGCTTTTTGGAGACTGTTCTGCTAAGCTGCACTTAAACGCTACAAAGAGGAGACAGAGTGTGTAGTGTACTCCTATAATTTTCACCTGTGCTATTATTGTTACAGAGCAGCTTTTGGGACTATTGTTTGGTTTGTTACAAACTACTTGGTGTATTGTAGTAAGTACATAGGATTTTAGCAGAAAAAGAGGAAAATACTGACTTCATTTCCAAAAGAAAACTATTGAACTATAAGTTCAATAATTTTCTATTGAACTATATATGTAAGTTATAGATATATAATGTATATAACTATATATTTACATATATTTTATATATATTTATATTTATATATTTATATATTTATTATATATTATTTATATATTATATATAAATAATATATTTTATATATATTTACATATAGTTATATATAGTTATATACATTATATAACTATATGTATATATGTATATATATGTGTGTGTATATATAATTATGCTCACTATGACCTGGAGGAACCAGAAAGTTTGCAGTTTAATTTATAACATAAGTTCATATAAATTGCATAAAACCTTAAACTACAAATTTTCTTTTACAATGTCTGATATTTCATCAAAAATAACCAAACAGGCTTCTCCCACTGCTTAGGATGTAGTCTAAGAGACTGTCATTCTCACAATAACAATGAGGTACAGCTGAATAAGCTACATACAAAACCACATTAAAGATTTTAAAAATTATAATTAGAAGTAAAAATGCATAGAAGGCAAAATAGATTAAAATCCAGATGGTGATGAGTCTTTTCTTGGAAACAATACATATAACCTCCTTTCATCAGGAGTCATCCCCCTGCAACAAGGGTATGGAGAAACCAGCCAAATTTAAAAAATAGTTTTAATAGCTACATGTGAGTTGGCAGAATGGATTTAAATTCTGAGGAGCCTGGGCCATAAAATGACTCTGTACACACCCACCATCTCTAACCTATGGACCTTCCTGTAAGTAGAGCATAGAGTAACCAAAAGAAATTACTTGGAGGCTCCCCAGGCATTGAAATGTAGAAAGGCAGTGGCTGCTAAAGGATCAAGATCAGGAAGAAAGGCTCAGAGAAATCCCCCCACATCCCAGGGCCCTGGGGCCTTCAGTTTGAGCCACAAGTGCCACATTAAGTCCTCAGGACAGGGCAGCACAATAGATAGAATGCTCCCAAGGTGTAAGAAAGCAATGGACAGAACTGCAGAGCGAACAGAAAATGCCATAAATCTAGAAAGTTAACATCCAGTTAAAGAGCAGAAATACATTTTCTGTGGTTCAGAAAGCAGGTATGTAGACTATAAAACATTAAGGTGTCATTGGCATCTCAACAATGCTCAAATCCAAATCCCTGCTGAGGGAAGTGCTGATCCCCCCCGTCAAAATATATGAAGCTAGAGGTGAAATTAATATAACTGAATCTCCTAAGCCCAGACAACGCTTCACTGTAGAGTAAATCAACTTGTCTCACTGTACTAGTGAATGTGTAGGGAGACACACTGACAAAGAAGGGTAAATATTTTTATGAGGATAAATATTATTTACTTGTTTCTCTACTGCTTTTTTGTTTCTTTTTCCAGACAAAATCTGTAATACATTAAACATTTATGAGACACACAAAGATGAAGGAAAATGGTCAATAGACGGAAGGGTGAATATTAAAAGGTAGAGATTACTCAGATTTTATAATTATGACATAAGGACTTCATGATACATATATTAGTCCACCTATTAGAAAAGGTAAACAGCATGTGTGAACAGATGATGAATTTTAGCTACAAAATAAAAGCTATAAAAAGAAGCTAATGAGAATGCTAGAGAGAAAAAAAATTATATCAGAAATAAAACACATATTTGATGATTTAATAGCAGATGGGACACAGCAGAGGAAATAATCAGCAAACTTGAAGAAAGATCTATAGAAATTATCAAAATAAATTAAAAAGGAAAAATAAACAATAAAAATGGAAAATCCAAGATCTGTAAGTCAATATGAAATGTCTAATACTCTTTACTTGAAATACCAGAGAAGAGAAAGAGAATGTGAAAGAAGAAACACTGGAAGAGATAATGCTCAAGAATCTCCCAAATTGATAAAAGACATCAACCCACGGATACAATGAGCTCAAGGATTTCCAAACAAGATACATACAAAGAAAATCACTCTTAAGCCTACCATGGTCAAATTGCTGAAAATAAAAAATAGTGAATCTTAAAATCAACAGGAAGTGGGGCAAGGGTGGAGAGAAATATGTCAGATAGGTCATGAAAGATAGATAGGTCAATGAAAACAATGATAGCTGAATTCTTATTAGGGACAATGTAGGCCAGAAAGCAACAGAAACACATTTTTAAAAGGCTAAAAGAAAAAAAAAGAGCTATCAATAGTTAACTACCTCTATTTATCAAAATATCAAAATATTCTTTAAATAAAAAGGCAAAATAAAATATTTTCAGAAAAACAAAATTTGAGAGAGTGTACACTACAAAAATAACTAAAACAAGTTCTTTAGAGTGAAGGAAAATGAAACCTAAGGAAAACCCAAATCTGTAGGTAGAAAAGAAAAATACCAGATTTGGCAAATATAAAAGACATTTTAAAGTATTTTCAACAAATTCAGCTGAGAAAAATGGATATTCACATGTAAAATAATGAAGTTGGACCTTTGCCTAATATCATATACAGAAATTAACTCAAAATGTGTCCAAGATCTAAATGTAAGGTTAAAAACTGTAAAACTCTAAAACATAGGGCAAAAACTTCATGAAATAAGAATTGGCAATGATTTCTTGGCTATGATATCAAGGTACAGGTGACAAAAGAAAGAAAATAAATTGCACTTCATGAAAATCAAAAGTTTTGTGCATCAAGAGATAATATACACAGAATAAAAGGCAACTATAAAATCAGGGATAATATTTGTGAATTATATATCTGATAAGTGATTAATAGCCAGAATATGACAAAAAATAACCCGATTCAAAAAGGGGCAAAAGACTTGGATCAGCTTTTCTCCAAAAGAGATACTGATAGGGACAGGAGACAGATAAATTCCTAGGGAGACAGAAGTGTGTCCCCAGTGAAACCCAACCGTCAAACCAAAGCCTGAAAACTGAGCTACTGGTTCTGGGCATAGTCCACGACTGGAGTAAGAACTTCCTCAATGCCTTTTAGCCAATGGAATGATGACTTTTCCAGGCCTGTTCATGGACCAATCAGCATGCACTCTCCCATTCTAAGCCCATAAAAACCCTGGACTCAGCCTCACAGATGGCTACCCACTTCCATGACCCCTCTCACACAGAGGGCTACCCACTTCATGTTCCCTCTCATTTCTGAAAGCTTTTCTGTCACTCAGTAAGATTCTTCTCTGCCTCACTCACTCTCCAAGTCCATGTACCTCATTCTTCTTGGTCGGGGACAATAACCCAGGAGCAAAAAAGGCGTGCTCCTGGCTGGTTCACTGAGCTGCAGGTGGCATGAATTAAAAGAGATGTGACATGCTCCCATTTGCCAGACTACAGGAGCGAAGAGCTGCATCCCTTCTGGGAGCCCAGACTTCAAGACTCCCTGAGCCAGAGTATAACACACAGAGAACTGTGGCATTCCCTGGTGGCTTAGACCTCGGTACTCCCCAAGCAGAAGCTATGGCACCCACTTGGAGCTCTGTGGTTGCTGCTGGCATCTTTGCGTCCCCATTGTCCAGATGCCAGCGTCCAAGACAGAAGCTGGTCATGACACACTGGACCAGACACAGGCTGAGCACAGAACCATGATGGGCACGGGATCCAGGCCAGTAGCACAAGCCAAGTGTAGGCTGCTGGGCTGAGTGTGCAGAACAATCCCAACAGGCCTGAGCAAAGTCCAGGCAGAGACACTGCCAGCTGTGGAGGTTTCTGGCTGGTGAAACAGCACAGAAAGAATCCTGTGTCAATATGTAAATGGCCAATAAGTACATGAAAAGATACTCAACATACTAGTCATTAGAGAAATACAAATCAA
Source organism: Homo sapiens (assembly GCF_000001405.40). Taxonomy (NCBI): domain Eukaryota; kingdom Metazoa; phylum Chordata; class Mammalia; order Primates; family Hominidae; genus Homo; species Homo sapiens. The sequence goes on from NW_019805503.1 coordinate 144,575, forward strand.
AACTACAATGAGTTACCAATTCACACTCATTACAATGGTCAGAATTATAAAAACAGAAAATAACAAGTGTTAGCAAGGTTGTAGAGAAATTGGAGCTCTTGTGCACTGTTGATTACAATGTAAAATGGTACAGCCACTGTGGAAAACAGTATAAAAATTTTTCAAAAAAATCACAAATAGAATTATCATAGGTTCCAGCAATTCCACTTCTGGCTATATACACAAAAGAACTGAAAGAAAGTCTTGAAGAGATATTTGTACACCCACGTCCATAGCAGCATTATTCACAGTAGCTAAAACATGGAAGTAACTTAAGTGTCCATTGATGGAAGAATGAATACGCAAAATGTGCTAAATACATACAATAGATTACTATTCAGCCTTAAGAAGGAAGGACATTCTGACATTCCCCACAACATGGATGAACCTTAAGGATATTATGCTGAGTGAAATAAGCCAGTCACAAAAAGACAAATATTATATGATTCCACTTATATATGACATTTGGAGTAGTCAAAGTCATAGAGACATAAAGTAAAATGTGGTTGCCAAGGTCGGGGAGACAGGGAAATCAGAGTTATTGTATAATGAGATAGAGTTGCAGTTTTACAAGATGGAAAGAGTGACGGAGATGGATGACAGTGATGGTTGCACAAAATTATGAATATATTTAATACTACTGAAATGTACACTTAAAAAGGTTAAAATAGTACATTTATGATATTACATTTTCTACCTATACACACACAATTAAATTTATTTAAAAGACTTGAGTGTCTAAATCAATACTGATAAAATATCATTGGGTTTATGATATAAGTAGAAGTAAAATATGCAAGAACATACAAGAAGGTAGAGGGTAAATAGAATTACACTGTCGTGAAGTTAATTACATTGCTCAATTATTGTTATTTACAGATAGGCCATAATGATACATATAGTAATCTCTAAAACAACCACCAAAATAATACAAGGCATTACCTCAGAAATTCAATAGAGTAAATAAAAGAAGACAGGAAAAGAAAAACAGAGAAAAAAACAGAGGCTCAAATTGAGATATGTAAATAGTCTTAATATGACATTTAATATATGTTAATGGATGAGACACTCCAATTGAGAAGCAGAGTGCTCAGGCTGGATACAAAAAGGCAACATTCAACTATACACTTAAAAAAAACCCACTTTAAATAAAAGGGCACAGACACACTGAAAATAAAAGGGCGGAAAAGATACACCCCATAAACACAATGCATAAGAAATTAGTGGGGCTAGGTTGGTATCAAAGAATTGTCAGAAATAGAGACGTTTCATAATGGTAAAGGGATGAAGTTATCAAGATGTAACAGTCCTAAATGTTTACACATTAATAACAGAGCTTCAAAATACAGAAAGCAAAAACTGGTAGAACTACAAGGAGACACACACACACACAAAAAAACAATAATAGTTGGGGACTTTCACAAGTCTCTCTTAGTAATTGATAAACAGGTAAACACAAAACCAGCAAGTACATAAAAGAGCAGAACAACATGTCAGCCAACTTCACCTAATTGTCATGTACAATGTGCCAAACTCAACACCTGCAAAGTATACTTTCTTTTTGAGTAAAATATTCTATTCACCAGATTAGACCATACACAGGGCCTAAAACAAGTTCAATAACATGTTATACATAAAACAATTTTAAAAGTCATATGAATCAAATTTTTTATTGTTGAAAAATATGTATTGCATATATTTATTAAAAAATAAAGATTTGGGCATATGTATAAGAGCAGAGCAGAAATTATATATAACAATTGGAGGGAGAAGATACCACTAGACATTGAGATGAAATGATTACCACAATTGCATCTTGAAAGGGCTAATACTTCTAACAGTGAACACGAAAAGAAAAACTAACTTTTGCTATATAATGCTTTTTTTTAATAATAGAGAATGCATAACTTGATTTGCAAAATAAATTTTCTGAGACCTAATCATAAACATGTTTAGTGCAAAGTAATTTATAAAATGGAGTGACCGTATTTTCAAATATATTTTTACAAAATTTTGCAATTCTAAACTATACAAAGTTGGAGAAAAACCATTTAATTAACCTGATTGTATTATTTTATGTTAATTTGGTAGCCCAAATAAAAGGGGAGACATATGTGTGTATTTTAAGCCTCTGCATTAAATTAAGGTCATTCCCCTGAAGTTGCACTGCAGAATTGTGTGTGTGTGTGTGTGTGTGTGTGTGTGCATGTGTCTGTTATACAATTGAATTTAACATAGCTTTATATCAACCATCTGTCTGTCTTTGAAGGCATTCAGTATGCCTCCCTTACATTTATAATGATGTGCTTTTAGTTCATTCACATAAAGGGATGCATGTTAGTGAAATATGCATTCTTTCAAGTCAGAGCTCATTGGTTCAGCCACCACCTCTACTATCCACACTGTGACACTTCAGCAAGTTTTGGGTACACAGTTTTGTTAAAGAGAAAGATAAGAGTCTGCACTTGGTAGTATTATATTAAGATTTTATTATATTAAGATTTAATTAACACAGTTTTACATAATATGCACTTCTTGAGTTATAAAATATATGAATACATTTATACAACTAGAAACAGTGAAATAAAAATCAAATCTAATGAGCAAGATTAGGAGAATTGGGCTGGTTGCAGTAGCTCACACCTGTAATCCCAACACTTCGAGAGGCCAAGGAGGGAGGATCACTTGACCCAAGAGTTTGATACCAGCCTGGGTAACATGATGAAACCCTATCACTACAAAAAATTAGCCAGGCTTGGTGGAGCATGCCTGTAGCCACAGCTACCCACGAGGCTAAGGTGGGAGGATCACCTGAGCCTGGGAGGTCGAGGCTCCAGGGACCCATGATCACATCACTGCACTCCAGCCTGGGTGGTAGAGTGAGACCCTGTCTCAAAACAAACAAACAAACAAACAAAACAAAGATTAGGAGAATTGTATATTCATACAATTGAATATTATGTAACCAGGAAAAATCATGGTTTTGGAGAATCATTACTGATGAGAAAAATGCCAATAAAAAAATTAGTACACAGAGTTATAAACTTTTAATGTATGTACCTATGGACTCCAGATGTGTCCAAGCTTATCCAGCATGCACATTCGAATATTGGTAAGGTGTGGATATCTGCAATACATCAGAGTTTAATAAAAAAGAGCAATGACAAAGAAAATTTAATTAACAATTCGTTGGAAATTGTCTTCCAACATTTCTGCAATTGAAATTGTTTCATTGTTTTAATTATCAGTAAAAGAGCGGCATTTTCTTTCTAAGTAAATTAAACTTTCACAATATAAAATGTTGTTCAACTTTTAAAAAATTAACATTGCTTAGTTTACAATTCTATACACAAAAGCATTGTTTTCTAACAAACTTGGATACATTGTAAGATTTAGACATGTCTTTTAGAATACGAATCCTCCACTCATATCTTAGCAAGATAATTGATAGTATATGATGAGTATTAAAATGAACTTCTGGGTTGATATAAAAAGACAGCCATTTAAGGCTCCATTTGAGTTTTCATTATTTATGTCCGATTTAAAATGTGATCAAATGAGAACTTGTAGTCCCCAACCTGGCTGAGTTGCAGCTGACTGTGGTCCACTTAAATAAAGCTTTTACCAAATGTCAGAACCATTGTGCATATTAATTAGAATATGAGTGGCTTATTTGAGGACTATTTCAGGACTGTCTCCAGAAAGGATAATTCATGATTCTTTAAGACCAGAGTGTACGCCATTCGAACAATAACATTAAGAAGGATCATTTTTTTATCTAGCTGCCTCATTGTACTGGCTGGAACAGACACTTCTAATACAATGTTCAGTTTAAGGTCAGAAGAATAATGTTAATCTTGGTAGAGCTTACCAACTCTTATGTATTGCATTAAGAAGAAGGTGATAAAGAAACTAACATGTAAAGAAAACAGGAAAGGGCTAAAGAGATGTTAATTAACATAATTCTTATCCTATGATGTTATTTCTACTATTCCATTAAAGAAACAACCTGTTGGAAGGAAGTAATGGATCACTGCAGTTTTACTATTTTCTTCTAGTTGATTGAGTAAATCCTCGATATTGCTCAGTTAATCAGTTTCAAACTTTATCCTTTACCAAATTAGTCAAGTACAGTCATTTTTTTCTTTCCTAACATCTCCCAAACCCATATGTTATTTCTACTACTACTAACACTATGCTGGATTTATTATCTTCAGCCTAACTATTGTTATACTTCCCTATGTTGTCCCTAGCCTTTAGTGTAGCTATATGCTAATTTATCTTATAGAGCTGAAGTCACTTTCATTCATCATTTTCTTTTCAACAACTTTTACCGATTCTCTGTTATCTATAGATTTAAGTTCAATAGCAACTATAAAGTGATGTCTACACTCAACTCCAATTCCTACCACCCATCGTATACTAGACTATTCTTTTTACAGTAGTCTCCCCTTAATCATGAGAGATACATTTCAGGACCCCCAGTGGATGCTTGAAATCATGGATCATATTAAATCCAAGACCAATATATACATACTTATGATAAAGTTTAATTTATAAATTAGGCACAGTAAGATATTAAAAACAATAATTAATAATAAAATAGAACAGTGACAGCAACATGCCAGCATCACTATTCTTACACTTTGGGGACATAATTAAGTCAAATAAAGGTGACTTGAACACAAACACTACAATATTGTGACAGTCGATCTGATCATCTAGACAGCTACTAAGTGACAAGTGGCCAAGCAGTGTAGACAGCATGGATAGACTGAATCAAGGGATGATTCACATCCCAGGTAGAACAAAGTAGGAAGACGCGATGTCATGCTACTCAAAACAGTATGCAATTGAAAACTTATAAATTATTTCTGAACTTTTCTGTTTAATATTTTTAGACCACGGTTGGCTGCTGATAAACTACAGAAAGTGAAACTGTGGATAAGGGGGGAGCTACTGCACTGCTCTTGGAGAACGTTGTGAATTCTTATACCTTGTTTCTAACTAATTTTATTATCTTCAAAGATTCAGCAGTTTTATTTTTATCTAGCCCTTAAGAATCAGGTTACATTTCATGTCTTCAGTGAGGTATTCCCTGACCACAGTAACCCAAATTAATTGACATTGATATCTTTTCTCCTGATACAGATCATCTGGGGATTCTGTATCTTTATAGTATATATATTATAATTCACAATTAGATTAAGAATGTCTTGAGGGCAGGTATTTCTTTTAATATTTTGATGAATAATAGAGGTAAACATCATGAGACAAACAAATACCTGTGGGTGGTATTATTATCATTTTTCTTTATTTGCTTATTTGGCTATAAATTTGTTAATTTGCATAGCAGCAGAATTATTGTTAAAAAGAAAGAATGGAAGGAGGGACTCCTTTCTCAGTTTCAGAAAGGTAGTAACAATAACCTTGATTATTAGGAGTTTAAAGCAGAGGCCAACAAAAACACACTCATCACTAGCATGTCGGTATTATACTTAATGTAAATGTGACTAGTCTTTTCTTATTCATTTTTTCCAGATTTCTTTTTTATTTTCATTTATTAAATACAGAAGAAATATTTCGCTGAAGACACAGGAAACCCTATTTTGTATAAACGAGGGATTGCAAGAGATTGTTGGAAGATCAAAGATGGGTGAATTGGAGGTAGGTCAATGTTTCCTTCCCTTCTTAGACTCCAGTTCTCTTTAAAAATGGCAACTGAAAACCTAAATACTGACAAAGGCATAAAAATAACCATATAATATCAAATATAGCTATATACTAAACTTTATGAGGTCAAAGACTTTGTCCATCCACTCAGTACTGTATACTCAATATCTAAGACAATTCCTGACACATAGTAGGCATTCTTGAGCATTTGCTGATTGAACGAAGGATTATTCATACTTTTAATCTTTGGCTGAAATTATTTTTATGATAAATTTCATTAAAATTTATTGAGATTTTAGAGAAAATGTTCTATGTAGAATTTTCTTAATTGCTTTTATTTTTATAGTTGAAAACTGGCCATGGTAGACTTTTCTTTTCCCCTCTGTCAATCACAATGATTGGTTACCGGTCACAGCAAGATGATAATGGGCTTTTAGTATCCTCTTTGTGCAACTGTCATATTTTCCCCCTTTGGCTTATGTACTTAATTTTTCATTAATTCTTCTTTCCTGAAATGTAAATATTTTTGCTTAGTAATCATTATAGAAAACAGTAGAGAGGGGAGGAGAAAACAGTACGTTGTTCAAATCATCAAATTCTTAATACCACCTTAGGGCAACAGAAGAATGGCAGTTGTTACTGAATTATGTAACTGAAAGGGAACAAAGGCATTAAAAGAAAGGCTCCATAATGAATCTTCTGGCAGGTTTCAGAGAAAGAAGCAGCTGGGTCTTCATGGCAAGAAAACATAGTGGAACCTATTGGTAAAATATGGTGATGAGTGCTTTCAACATATTCAAAAATATGGTCATTCAGAAAATATATATTTCAAAGTGCCTAAAGATATTTAACAAGATGATATAATGGCCTGAAAGACTATATATTTATAAATTGACAACAATAGCCATATTTTAAATGTTACCTCTCATTTAGGACCTAAAATTGCATCATGGGAAACATTATTTCTCTATTTATAAATTTTGCTAAAACATTTTTTGGAAGGACTTTAGGATTTTTTTTAAACAAAGAGTGAAAATTTCAGGAGCTTGATATCATTTGAGTCTAATGCAATAATCTGCATATCTTGGCACTATTATGAAAAATGAAAACAAAGATAAGCTTACAAATGTAAATGCTAGAGCTAATGATTGTGACACAAATATACTATGGAAACAGCATGGCTCAGTAACTAGGCAACAGATTAGAAACTCAGGTTTAATATCTAATTCTGATTTTCCCCCTGGTTTTTAGCTTTGTGTCTTATCAGCAATGTATTTAATATGTTGACTTATATAGGTGAAGGATAAAAATGGTGCAAATAAGCCAAAATAGCAAATAACTTCCCATTCTTATTTAACTTTGAAATGTCCCAGGTTTTACATTTGAAGAGCGTAAGAGAGCTATGTAAGAGTATCACAGCACTTCACAATAAATGATGAAATCACAGTCAAGACATATAAGATGTTTTGAAAAGCTATGTCTTTTTACTACATTGCCCAATCCATCCTTGAAACAGTGCTACCTATTTGACTTAACTAAGTGCCAACCTACATGGAAGAAGGTGATGTCTTTTTCTATGTTGTCTGACTCTGGTTCAAACAGTCCCAACCTGAAAAAAATATATGTAATTTTCAAACAGAAAAAAGAAATCTTCAAGCTGTGTACCTTATCTGTTCTAGTCAGAATGAAATGGTGACTATGCCAAAAAAAAATTGTAGCAGATAATGTGATAATGTCATTAAAATGTTAACAACACAGTTTCCATAGATGAACACATGTACAATCCTGTTTTTCTTAGATTTCTCCATGTGGAAAATGAGAAACAGGACTAGGTAAAACAACAACAAAAAACCTCACCATGAGCTAAGGTTTTAGTCCTTCATATGCTAGCAGAATGCCTCAAAATATCAAGTCTTCTACTCCATTGCCAAAACCTTCATATCTCTACAAAAACTAAAACGCAGTGGTATGATATTTGCAATCAAGCTTTCTGGATACAACAGTGGTATTTCATAGTTTCCGCTAATGTCACTATTTGCTGCCAAGAATTGGAGCCATTGAACCATTTAATGCATCCAGGCATTATTTTGTGAAAGTTTAACAATTTCAACATTATAAACTGACTTAATATGACCTAATATAAACTAATATTGGTTGGGTAGGTATCATACACTGACATATAAGGTCAACAACAGTGATATTTTGGATCCAGATTCTAACCTCTAATAGATTATAGATGTAAGGTAGTACATTACTCTAAAAGAACAAACAGTAAGGTTGGAGAAAATCGGTTTGTTTTCTTTGTTAAATCCTATATTTTATCAGTTCATTGTTTTCAATAAACATATCTGTATTGATACCAGTCACTGAGCTTAAAGCAGATTTCAGGATAAATGATCTAGATATAGAAACTTCAAAGAAGGAGGTCTCAGGAAAATGCAGTGAGACGTTTAAATAATATAATACAATGGATTAAATGCTATAATTGAATATTTTTAAATATAGCAGAAAAAGGGAGGAAGTAAGTAACTAGATATTAGAAATGGGATAAAGCGTCACTGGGGAGGAAGCAATTTAACTAACTCATAGAATCAGAAAAGTCAGGACCAAACAGATAACATCAGTAAAGGAAAGAAAATAATACACAAGAGAAACAGTAAATGGGCAGAGAATAATGCTGGGTTTTGATGCTGTTTTACTTGAATTTTTATTTTTTCATGGGAGAAGAAACACAAAAAAAGCAAGAGAACCAAGGGTTGTGAAATGCAAGAGCTGAGATATAAGTTCAGAGAAGGAAAAACTTAAGAACGACTAAAGCCACATTTGAGGCTGCCGAGGGATACTTTGTTCCAGGAATCAGGCCACATACAGAAATACAGAGTGAAGATGTGGGGAGAGGACTTATGACAGAATCATAATTAAGACGCAATTCATAATTAAGACATGAATCTCGACAGAAGGAGTTGATCCGGAAACTTTATCCTGACTTGTAGATGCTTCAAGTTGAGAGGTTCTGTAAAACACTTGGTAAATAACAAAGGCTCCAGACATTCAAAAGGATATTCGTAGAATAGGAATCTAAAATACCAAACAGTAGAAAACACAGTAAGGAACATTAACAAAAGAAGAAGCTGCCAAACACATGTACTCTAAAAGTACATAATTCCAATGTTGCTATTTCTGATGAGCCCTAAATTCCTTTGGTTCGTACCTTGACATTTAGAGTGTTTTTAGATCTTCACCAAGCTCTAACTGCTTCAGTGACTAAAGCTCTAATTCTGCAGAATTTATAGCCTTAATGCTGTGTCATATTCTGGAGCCACTTCATTTCACCTGTCTGACCGCCTGGGTCTCAGGTCAACCACGCACAAGCTGGGGGCAAGCCTCAGCACAGAGTTCCTAATGTGGCTCAAGACAGGCTGCTGGAGTTCAATAAATATTGATTGATGGTAATAGGGACAGTATCACTCTCCTTAGATATGTTGTCACTCTGCCTTCAGGAAAACACTGAGAGTCTGTGCTATTCAGGGCAGTTTCTATGGCAGCAGAAATTAAAGGCCAGCAAACTTGAAGCTACACAAAAGTCGTGGGACAACATCATTCTGAATCTTGCATCATTCATGACTGTTTGTATTGTCTCAGCACCAAGAACAGACAAGAATGTTCAATAAGTCTGCATTGTGAACAGTGAAACTGTGACAGCGATGTCATGTTTTTCATAGAACAGACTATTTCCAAGCTAAGGTATAGATTTTTGGAGTGGGGACGAGTGAGGCATAGTCCCTTCTCGTGTTTTAGCTTCAGTCCACAGAGGGGAGAACTTTTTTGGATCTCTTGAGGCAATATTACAGAGAACATGTCTACTTTGCTCTTAGTACACATATTTGCACCTCCTGAGGCCTCTAAGTGGCCAATTTTATTGAATAGATTTTGTTCTAATTATTGAACTGCATTACTAGGGGGTGAGATACCATCCTCTCAAAGGCACCTGTAATGCTCAGTTTCTTCTCCAGCATGTTCCTGGTTAAGAATTACTTACAGATTCCTAGAATCTATGGGCTCGTAAAGAATGGTTTCTTGGAAAATATCACATAAGCTATAGTATAAAATGGAGATGTTTCATAAACTAAACTCTCTCTGCTTTGTGTGTTAGTCTCACAAAACCTTGCTTGAAGGTCCCATCTATTATTTTGAATCAGAGTGGCTGTTTTATAATATATAGTGATATACCCAAAGTTTCTCTCATGTTTTTCTCAGTTTCTTTGGTCTCTAAAAGATATCTTGGAATCAGAACTGCCTCCACAAATTGGGAATAAAAGAACTAAAGTGATTCAGAAGCTTATGTCTTTGTTGGTTGGTTTGTTCTCCTGCTTTTTACTTAGTCTAAAAAAAAAAAGCAAAGCAAAACAAAACAAAGAAATCTAAGAATGGAAAGTAAGCATTCAGGCACAAAAATAGATAAGATTTCTGTTTTCAAGAAGGATGTTGATACCTTTGCTCCAACTTTTAAAATAAATATCATAAGAGAAGGATTTATAATAATTAATTTTAATTTCAAGCTATGTTTAATAGATGTATACACATATATATACACTTATACACATGAATGCCTTTGAGTCACAGAAAATATGACAAGTAAAAGTGTATGTAATACAGATGACAAAAGAGTGCACTTGGACCTTTATTAATTCTGAGTGAGGGGTCTTAGGTCCCTGGAAATAGGGAAGGCAGAATACATGCAGCAAAGGATCTAAAAAGAAAACGAAAACATCCACATGGACATCCTAGGTAAGAACCTAAAATTCTAACCAATGCAAAGAGCAAAAATATTTTTAATCAGGCACTGTGTTTAGTCTTCTACTTTGCTATTTATATTTATTACCAGAACTCTTGAAATATAAACTGCTGAAAGATTTCTAATGGCTAATTTTTCTCTTCTCACCTCGGGGGAATTAAATTGATATCTGGAATGCAAAGGAGACTATCAGCACAACCTCTGCCCCTAACACATCTACCTACACCCCCCTCCACACACACATATGTGCAGTTATCAGAAGACTCAGAAACACTTTCAGCAAGGGTTCCATCCGTATGACTGCTCATCTATAGGAAAAATCACTGCTGTAGACAGTAGCTAGAGGCATATTATGTGGACGTGAGCAAGGAGAAAACCCTATTATCTAGAGCTCAACTTCCATATAACAGATGGATATTGCTATAATCTGAATATATCTCCTAAAATTCATATGTTGATACATAATCCTGAATGTGATAGTATTAAGAGCTGGGGCCTTTAGGAGATAATTAAGTCATGATGATGGAGCCCTTATAAATGAAATTAGTTACCTTATAAAAGAGATTGAAGGGAGAACCCTAAAGTTCCACTGGCCATTCCATCTATCTCTTCTGCCATGAGAAGAGGCAGAATCCCTCTTTTTTATTGCCCTTCCCCCTTCTGTCATGTGAGGATGCTGCCTGGAGAGGATGCCATCAATGGAAAAAGCCCTTACCAGACCACTAAACATGCTGGTGCCTTCATCTTGGACTTCCCAGCCTCCAGTACTATAGGAAATAAAGTTATGTTCCTTATAAATATCCAGACTGTGTTCTTTTTTTGTTACAGTAGCACAAACAGACTAAGACACATGTTAAATGAAATACTGTCCTCTTCAAATTGTACTCCTTTCAATTATCACATTTTTCAAAGCATAATCGGAAAAGAAGTGTAGGGAAAAAAGAAAACGAGCATTAATAAAATGTCTGCTACTTGCCAGATACTATACTAGACATGTTCAGTATGTTATCACACTTAATAACCCAACTTTGTCAGATTTCTCTTCTTATTCCCTTTTTGCATATGAGGCAAAGTGAGATAAAGTAACTTACCTAAGATTAAAAAAACTTATAAATGGAAATGTGGATATTTGACCTTATTTATCTTTCATTGTAGACGAAGCACACAACACCAAAAAATAAAACCCACCTAGCACTCATTCAAATCTATAATAAATAAATTGCATTTTATCCTCACAACAATGCAGTGAATAAGTATTAATACTTTCCACTTTATAGAAGAGAAAAATAAAGGGAAAAATAATAACCAATTGCACATAATTTAAATGGTTGGAGCCAAGATAGAAACTCATCTGTATAATTCCAAACTCTAAGGGCTGACGGTAGCACCCCCCACTCTCCATACTTATGATTTTTGTCTGGATACATTTACTCACACTGGGACTTGCTGGATGGGTAGCTTTAACTCCTTGGGGTCGTAGACTAACTAAATAGGACCAGCTCAGAAAATATAACATCTATTGACCTCAGAATTTCAGCATCATGATAGGGCATTAAAAAGCCTGTCTGTTACGGGTTCTCGGGGACAAAACTGTAGCTCAAAAAATTAGGGTCTAATGACATGTTGCAATAAAGGAGAGCACAGAAAAAGAAACTTAGAATACCTCTCTCCAACAAAGAACTCTATCAGGTTCTTATAGGAATAGGGGGAGGGGAAGGTGATGGAAAAGTGAGGAGTTTAGGTCATTATATTAGGCAGTATTTGGCTTAAAATAAAGCAGGTCTGTGTGTAAAGAGGTTAATTTCAGTCTTTGGCTGAAAGGCAGGTTCAAGTCTATGGTTCTGTGGAAAACACAATGGTGAGATAAATATGAAATGCTGTGTCCATAAATCACTTATCTGGAACTCTGCAAGACTGCCTCTATGCACCAGAGACTCATATCATTCAAGCAAGAGTAGGCTGTCCCATTCTTAGTGAATTGGCATCAAACATCAAAGTTTCTGACAGTCTATGGTTTTAAGATTTGCAGAACTAAGTCCTTTTCTTAATGAACAAATGAGGATTTTACTGATTTACAAGGTAGAGCATGCAACTTCTCAAACTTAGTTGAAACTGCATTTTTATCAAGACCTATATACAGGCATATCTCACAGATAATGTGAGTTCAGATACAGAAAACCACAATAAAGCAAATATCACAATAAAGCAAGTCACACAAAATTTTTGGTTTCCCAGGGCACATAGAAGTTATGTTTACATTATTCTATAATCTGTTAAGTGTGTAATAACTTATGTCCAAAAAAAGAATGTATATACTTAAATTTAAAATACTTTATTTCTAAAAAAAATGCTAACAATCATCTGAGCTTTTGGTGAGTTGCAATCTTTTTGCTGGTGGAGGGCCTTGCCTGGATGTTGATGGCTGGTGACTGATCAGGATGGGGTTGCTGAAGACTGGATTGGCATGGCAATTTCTTAAAATGACACAGTGAAGTTTGCCAGATCAATTAACTTTTCCTTTCACGAAAGATTTTTCTGTACCATGCGATGCTGTTTGATAGCATTTTATTCACAGTAGAACTTTTTTTCAAAAGTGAAGTCAATCCTGAAACCCTGCCACTGCTTTATCAACTACAATGATGTAATATTCTAGATTTTCTGTTGCCATTTCAACAAAGTTCACAGTGTCTTCACCAGGAGTAGATTTATGGCTAGCCAGTTATCCCAGCACCATTTACTGAAGAAGGAGTCCTTTCCCCATTGCTTGTTTTTTTTCAGCTTTGTCCAAGATCAGTTGGTGGGTGTGGCCTTATTTCTGGGTTCTCTTTTCTGTTCCATTGGTCTATGTGTCTGTTTTTCTACCAATACCTTGATATTTTTGTTACTGTAACCCTGTAGAATAGTTTGATGTCAGGTAACATGATGCCTCCAGCTTTGTTCTTTTTGCTCAGGATTGTCTTGGCTATTCAGGCTCTTTTTGGGTTCCATATGGATTTTAAAATAGTTTTCTCTACTTATTTGAAGAATGTTATTGGTAGTTTGATAGGAATAGCATTGAATTTGTAAATTGCTTTGGGCAGTATGTCCATTTTAATGACATTGATTCTTCCTATTCATGTGCATGGGATGTTATTCAATTTGTTTGTGTCATCTCTGATTTCTTTGAGCAGTGTTTTGTCATTCTCCTTGTAGAGATCTTTTACCTCTCTAGTTAGTCGTATTCCTAGGTATTTTATTCTTTTTGTGGCAATTGTGAATGGGACTGCATTCCTGATTTGGCTGTCAGCTTGGTTGATGTTGGTGTATAGGGATGCTAATGATTTTTGTATATTGATTTTGTATCCTGATACTTTGCTAAAGTTGTTTATCAGCTGAAGGAGCTTTTGGGTGGAGATGATGGTGTTTTCTAGATATAGAATCATGTTGTCTCCAAACAGGGATATTTTACTTCCTCTCTCCCTATTTGGATGCTCTCTCTTTCTTTCTCTTGCCTGATTGCTTCCAGAAGATTTTCAATAGACTGTTTAGTTCTATCAGATAAATCACTTATCTGTGGCAGGTATACCCTTACAAAATATATTTCTTAAATAATAACTCTTGAAAGTCAAACTACTCCTTGATCCATGTACTGCAGAATGGATGTTGTGTTAGCAGACATGGAAACAACATTAATCTCTCTGTACATCTTTACCAGAGCTCTTGGGTGACTGTGTACACTGTCAGTTAGTAGTAATATTTTGAAGAGAAGTAGTTCTCAACGGTGGGCTTAAAACATTCAGGAAACCACTCTTTAAGCTGTTTGTTATCCAGGCTTTGTTGTTCCATTTATACAGTACAGGCAGAGTAGATTTAGCATAATTTTAAGAGTTCTAGGATGTTTAGAATGGTAAATAAGCACTGGCTTCAACCTCAAGTCACCGGCTACATTAGCTCCCAACAAGAAAGTCGGGTGTGCTTTGATGTTTTGAACCCGGGCATTAACTTCTCCTCTCTAGCTAGAGAGTCCTAGAATGTCTAGATGGCATCTTCTTCCAAAATAAGGCTATTTCATCTACATTGATAATGTATTGCTTAGTGTAGTCACCTTTGTTAATTATCTTAGCTAGATCTTCTGGATAACTTGTTGCAGCTTCTATATCAGCACTTGCTCCTTCACCTTACACATTTGTGTTGTGGAGATAAATTCTTCCCTTAACCATTATGAATCAATTTCTGTTAGCTTCAAAATTTTCTCCTGCAGCTTCCTCACCTCTCTCAGACTTCAGAGAATTGAAGAGAGTTAGGGTCTTGCTGTGCATTGGGCTTTGGCTTAAGGGAATGTTATGGCTGGTTGATCTTCTATCCAGACCATTCAGACTTTCTCCTTAGCAGCAATAAGGCTATTTTGCATTCTCATCATTTGTGTGTTCACTGAAGTAGTGCTTTTAATTTCCTTCAAGAACTTTCCCTTTGCATTCACAGCTTGGCTAACCGGTTTGCACAAGAGGCCAAGCTTTGACCTATCTCACCTTTAAATATCTCTTCCTCACTAAGTTTTATCATTTCTAGTTTTGGGTGTAAAGTGAGATAAATAACTCTTCCATTCACTTGAACACTTAGAGGCCATTGTAGGGTTATTATGTGGCTTTATCTTAATATTGCTGTGTCTCAGGGGATAGGGAGGCCTGAGGAGAGGGAGAGAGATGGGGAAACAAACTGGTCAGTGGAGCAGTCAGAATAAACACATCATTTATTGATTAAGTTCACTTTCTTACAAGGCATCAAGAGACCATGGCAATGTTAGATTCAGGTAAGAGGAGGAGGCAAAAAGTATTTTATAAACTGTAAAAGTTCCTCCAATTCAAAAGCAGAGTGGCAGGGTAAATGATAGGAGTCTAGTAGCATTTGGGAGGGAAAAGTCTTTGTTCGATAATGGTAAGTAGTGACGATTTGTGCCTCGGATTATCTTTCAACTGCACAAGGATTTATGAAGAAGGAGGTTGGAAAAATATAACCAAAGGAATCGACTATGTTTAAGATAATAAAATGTTAAGTTATGAAATTTAACAATTAGAGAAGTTTATAGAATTCACCATTTTCAGAGTGAAAAATGGAAACTAAGAGTTAGGTCCTGAATGTAGCAGAAATGACTAGATGTCCCTTTAGACCTGCTCTCTGCTCACCCTTTCTCTCCTAGAATAGAACCCCCAATTTTAGATGGGCACACGGCTGTGTAAATAAATGCATAACCAGCCTTCCTTGAATCTAGATGTGTGCCTGTTACTAATTTATAATTCATGGGATGCAAGCAAAAGTAGAATGTATTACTTCTGGGAAATGCCTTTAATTGCCTTTTTTCAACCCTTCCTCGTTTTACCTGTGATGGCTGGAACTGGGATAACATCCTGAGCCACGCAATGGAAGCCAAGTGCTGTGGAAAGCAAAGTGGCAGCCTAGAAGGAATTTGGGTCCCTGATGATTTTGTGAAACTGTGATTTTTTCCATCAGACCTGAACTTCCAACCTCCAGTCATCTTTTTCATAAGAGAGAAATAAACATCTTGTTTAATTCACTATCACTTTTGGCTTTTTGTCACTCATAGCTATGCACCCTCCTAATTGACATAATGGTCCTCTGCATTAATATCCCTAGGATTGGACATTGTCTTTGCTATATTGTACCTTCCATTAAAGGGAAGTGTAATGTCACAAAACTAGCATCGGGTATAGATATAAGTTGAGATTAAAACAAACAAATAATATTCTTGGACAAAAACATGACATTATATTTGAAACACATGAAGACTGAATAAAATTATCTTAAGGCTAATTTTCAAAAACTGGAGGCAATGAAGTATAGTGGTTAAGAATACAGATTCTGGAAACAGCCTGGATTCAGATCCTTTCTTTGCCACTTACTTTGTAAATTTAGCGACATTACTTCACTTCTTTGCCTCAATTTTCACATCTGTAAAATGGGAATAGTTACAGACCTATTTTCTAGGGTTGTTGTGAGAAGCAAACTGATTATAGAAATATAACTCATATATAGTTATATATAATACTCTATTATATATAGTTATATATATAAAATACTCTATTATATATATAGTTACATATATGAAATGCTTAGAGTAATGCTTGGCAAATAATAAGTGCTACTAACCAACATAACAACTAATCTAATAAAAATATCTCAATTCCACATATAGCTAGATTTAGGGTTAAACAGTAGAATTCACTCTTTGATTAGGAGAATAAAGTTAATAGGAGATGACTCTTGATATGCTCCATACAGTATTGGGAAGAGAATTTATCACCCATGAACTATCATTCTCATGGATCACTCCAAATGTATAGGTAAAACTGATATAATTTAACTTTAGGATTTGTAAATGTCACTACAACTGTCAGTGTAACAGAACACTCAGTAATACACTCTATAATGTACTTATAGAAATAACCTTAAGTAACTTTTTTCCTTAAACTGGTAGCTTCCCAATGTTGACTGCTCTGTTTAAATAATGAACGACTCTTAAAAGTTATATGATATAATTTTCCTATTAATTTTATTGATATATAACTGGGTCATAAAATAACACTGGAAGTAATTGAATAAATTTTTTAAAACGATCTTCATATGTTATTTTTCATTTGCAGCCAGAGGAAAAAAACTTGTAACTTTCTGTGGATCTTTCCAGACAATTTTACAGATATGGACCATTTTTAACAGATCTTTTAACCTATACACTTTTTAATAAGCCAAACAGGAACGGGAGAACATCATTTCAGTGAAACAAACAGATGGAAACATTGTGAATGTCAGAACCACAGTCAGGAATGTTCCTTTTTTCTCATCTTCCCTTATTGTCAGGTTTTATTGTTTTCTTGAAATGTTATCTCAGTCTTTAAATGGCTTCTCTCTACACTGAGTGAAAATGTGCTGGCCGATTCGCATCTTTGTCACCACTCGGTATACTTGAGATAAATGTATAAATAGGAAGCCTGAAAGGTCTAGCTGGGAAAATACAAAGGCTCAAGGAGGAGTCATGCAGGATGAGCATCTGGTCTTTCTTCTTCGCGTAGAACTGCAGTTTATAAACTTCCTCTCTCTATGAGGCTTTTTGCACCATACTGGGAAACTTCCAAATATAACTCCATTACAGAGCCGTCTGAAGAAGCTAAAAAACATCCATGCTGATCCAGAGTATAAAATAGATGACGTTCAATATTTGTCAAAACATTTCACCTTTGCAGCTACTGAACCTGTAATGACAAGGACTAAGGCCGGGTTGACAACAAGCACACAATTATACTTACTGGAGAAAGTTCAAGGGAAGTTTGAAATACATCTGTAAGAGAAGAATACATAATTGAAAAAATAGTTCCTTTTGGATGTTTAAAATATACTAAAATAATTTCCCACCACTAAGTGCCTTAGGTATTCTAAAGTCTGGGGTTTTTGTTTTTCTTTAGCCCACTGATTTTGACAGTGAACAATATTTATTAAGTTTCTGTTATACTTGAAACCTCACTGTGTATCTTTTCTTTTATTTTATTGTTCACAAATAGATTGCACTAAATATTGTCTATCCCAAAACCTACAAACACAGGCTTGTAGAAGTTGAATGAGAACCACAGCTCTTGATCAAGGCTGGGGAAACAATTGGAATGATTTAATATTCTGCTGCTCAAGGTTCATAACGACTATGGAGGTGATTAACTGAAGAAGTTATTTGGAAAATTAACATAGGGTAACTAGATTAGAAGAATGACCAGGGAATATCTGAAAACATTTTCTTCCCTGTATGTTCTGGATTTTTATTGACTGAGATTTTATTTTGAAAT
Organism: Homo sapiens; assembly: GCF_000001405.40. Classification (NCBI taxonomy): domain Eukaryota; kingdom Metazoa; phylum Chordata; class Mammalia; order Primates; family Hominidae; genus Homo; species Homo sapiens. The sequence goes on from NW_019805503.1 coordinate 162,908, forward strand.
TCTCTTTCCATCTGTTCTAGTCTGAGTTCTGCTTAAACTGCTCTGTTAACTAAAGAATCTCAGAAATCTCACAGACTCAATAGGAAGGCTGAAGAAACATGTTTCAAAGTGGACAAAACACGGTGGAACCCAAGTAACTAAAACTTCAGTTGAATCATGCCATTAGGTGAGTCTAGAGAAAACACCACTGCCTTGGGCTCTGGAACCACTGCCAGTAGCAATACTGGATGCCACCACTGCTGTAGGACAGTCGCCACTTTGTGTATGAGACACTGGGTT